>NC_000013.11:85591616-85744457 GCF_000001405.40 Homo sapiens | reverse complement strand
AGATTGGCTTAAGAAAATGTGGCACATATACACCATGGAATACTATGCAGCCATAAAAAATGATGAGTTCATGTCCTTTGTAGGGACGTGGATGAAGCTGCAAACCATCATTCTCAGCAAACTATCACAAGGACAAAAAACCAAACACCACATGTTCTCACTCATAGGTGGAAATTGAACAATGAGAACACATGGACACAGGAAGGGGAACATCACACACCAGGAACTGCTGTGGGGTGGGGGGAGGGGGGAGGGATAGCATTAGGGGATATACCTAATGCTAAATGACGAGTTAATGGGTACAGCACACCAACATGGCATATGTATACACATGTAACAAACCTGCATGTCGTGCACATGTACCCCAAAACTTAAAGTATAAAAATAATAAAATTAAAAAAAAGAAGGTCAAATTATAAAGCTCACATTAATTGGATGTATATTGCATATTTTAACACATTAACTGAGAACAAAGCGTAATGTTATTGCTGGTTCAAAGAGCATTTGAGAAGCTAAAATACTTGTAAGAAGAAAAATTGCTGGGTTTTCTAAAAAGCAACTGCCAAATGTCTATGGAACTATAAACTACTATCTCCAGAGTTATTTGCTCAACTAGGTGCAAATTATTTGCATCTCTACTAGACACAAATCTACATGTTAGCCTGTGACTTCTCTGAGTCATTTAATCAATAGTGAATAGGAAACTGGAAGAAAGAATAACTTGAATATTAACTCGTATTTTACTTCCTTTTCATACATTCAATTCTATCCCTTTATTCAGATATCCCCTCATATTATTTCTCCAGCAAAAATCCTTTACAGGACGTGTCATCTGTCAGGCCTTTGAGCCCAAGCTAAGCCATTGTATCCCCTGTGACCTGCACACGTATACGTCCAGATGGCCCAAAGCAAGTGAAGAATCACAAAAGAAGTGAAAATAGCCAGTCCCTGCCTTAACTGATGACATTATCTTGTGAAATTCCTTCTCCTGGCTCATCCTGGCTCAAAAGCTCCCCCACTGAGCAACTTGTGACCCCCCCACCCTTGCCCGCCAGAGAACAACCCCCTTTGACTGTAAAACGGCCCCACCCCTATCTCCCTTCGCTGACTCCCTTTTCGGACTCAGCCCGCCTGCACCCAGGTGAAATAAACAGCTTTGTTGCTCACACAAAGCCTGTTTGGTGGTCTTTTCACACGGACGCAAGTGAAATCATCCAAGAATAACTTCTATATTTCATAAAGTAATAGATGAAGTGGTTTTGCCTTTCATCATTCATAAACTTTGGTATGTTTAATTGTTGTTTTAAGCTCATTCCTACCATCCTAAAATATATTTCAAGCCCTTTGAGTTAAGGAATCGTATAGTTTTCTATGTATTTTGAGACAAGAACAAAATTTAGAAAAACAATTGTTGTTTAAATATTTTTTTATGTTGCTAATGTAGCTGCAATGAGAGAGAGAGTGCCTGAGTGTAAGTTGTAGAGAAGAATTGGAATAGAACAGGGAAATAAGGCCAGAATCTTCATGTAGGAACAAGAGAATTCCAAACTAAAAATATCTCCCAAAAAAAATCAGCAATACTGACTCCTAAATTGCATCACTCATTTTTACTTGTGCTTTATTCTGAATCTGACTCTATTTTTTCCAAAAAGAAATAATATAACATACTTTTAAAATCAGCAAATAGTCACATACACAAATGTTGCTCTTTTCATCCTAAGAGACAAAATATTCAGTACCGTATCAAGGATTATTTCACGTGAGCTGGCAAGATGAATAAAAAAGATTCAGAATTTCCCAACATTTATACTATGAAAAAGAAAAAAAAACTGATCTAAATAATCTAATTTTAAAATGACAAGACACATTACAAACTGGAGACAGTAGCAAATTAAAACATTCAATTTTCAGTGTACTCTGTATTTTCTGACCACATAGCATTCCTTTTTCACAAATTTTTACTGACTCATCTGAAAATAAATTTCATTAAAGGAAGATCCTAAACCAACTTTTCCTAGTGTCCAGCTTTTTTGTCTTTAGACAAAGCTTATTCATGTAGATTTAGATGTTTACCACTTTATCTCTACTAATAGATTTTACTTTTGAGTGCATTTGATGTAATAAAAGATAATAGCTTTTTGTGTTTTTTACATTTGCCTTGCAATAACCATATGAAAAATGTTTAATAAATTCTGTTTTACAGATATCTTCATAGAACCAAGAACACAAGTACCTTCATAGACCCACCATTCACCTAGTTACTTAGGACAAAAATCATTTTTGAATCCTCCCTTTTATTTAGACCTCATCTGCTCTTAAACCTCATTTGTTGCTTTAATGGCCAAACAGTACCCCAAATTTATCCCATTAATTTTTACTTTTCCCTGGAACTTCTTCCTTCTTTACGTGGGAGTCCAGGTCAGCATTATTATTTACTCTTGATCATGGAAATGGACTCAAGTCTGGTTATTTAAACTCTGACTTCTCTGTACACTCTACTGTGGCAACCAGATTGGGCTCTTTGTAAAATAAACTGTATCATACATTCCATTGAGCAGAATACAACAACAGCTTTCTTTACAAGTAGACTAATACCAGCTCCTTCCCATGGACTACAAAGACCTACATGATGTGCTCTCTGATTAATTCTTCATATATATATTATTTATACTTCGTATATATTATATATGTGTGTGTGTGTATAATTTCATGCCAAACCAGTTTCTTGTATATGCTAATTTTTACCTCAGAGATTTTGAATATAGTTTACTTTGACCAGAATATTCTTCCGCCAACTTTCTCATAGTATTTTTTCACGAGCATTTTCATGATTCTGGTTAAAGGTCTCATTCTGAAAGAGTATATCCTGAATACTTGTCTAAAGCAGTCCTCCAAAAGTCCACCACAAAATTCTTCTTCCCGTGTCATAATCTGATGCTACTTAATTTTTCCCTGAAAATGTATTATTTCCAGAAATAGACACATATATATACCCCCCAAAACAGACTAACCAAAAATCTCTAATCCAGAGGTTTTCCATTGAAGCTATCACTCGGTGGGCTTCTGCAAATTCCAGGACCATAAAATCAAAAGAATTTTGCATATTTACTTGGTGGGGGGCAGGAAAGGGACACAGGATCAAAAGACTTTTTACGCAGCTGAGAATAATAAAGGAAAGCTTGTTAACTTTTGTAATACCTACAATGATTTTTCCAGCCTGGCCTAATGGTACTGGGCTGTAAAAACTTTACGGTTTATGACTAAGCATATTATCAGCCCATGAAGGCTTCTATAAGCCACTAATAATATCTGAGATCCTTAAATTTATCTATAACAAATCCTGATTTGCCTTATGTTGATTTCTCAGTGTCTCTACATATTTTTCTTTAATTACAGGCACTAAATAAATTCTTGAATTTGGCAAGCAAATTAGGAAATCACTAACAATCACTTAACATATTTAAAATAAGCCTATGTAGATTAAAGTGCTTGAGAGCCTGCCTACATTTAAAAGTATCATTTGCAACCTAAATTGTCTATCAGTCTGTATAATCAATGGTAAAACAAAACTCTGGTACAGTGTTGCTTTAAAAAACTTTTGAGGATTCTGCATTATTTAAAATTTTTTTTCTCACAAAATATCCATTCGTTGATTTAAATAACATTTAACATAATACAAACTGTTCTTTTCTCTCCTGAATTATGCATATCCATATCTATACCTATATCTCACTTTTCCTTAGATTTTAGTTTAAAACAAACATAAAATGAGAAGATTTTTAAATTATAGCCACAAAAAATTGATAAAGTTTAGAAAAAAAATTAAGATCTTTTTTTAAAATTCTTTTTCCTCTCAGGCTACATTTTTGGGAGAAGAAAGGGCTAATTGATTTCTATTATCTCCCTCATTTGGAAAAGAAATTTTATTTTAGTAAAGAAAAACAGTACCAGAATATTAGTAAATGTATATCAAATTATTGTAAGAGTAAGATTTGTCAATAACGCCTATTACCTTCTCTCTCTCTCTTTCTCTCTTAATCTTTCCCTCTCTATCTCACTTTATCAAAATAGATGTAGCGTGATTACAAAAGTCAGTGGCTGATTGTATTAATTGTTGTTGTTGTTGATGATTTTTTATTTTTTTCTAGGTGAAACAAGACACCTTGTTTCCTCATGAATTTATTGCATGATTTTGAAAAGCCTTCTCTTCTACGCATTTTGTACATACTAAAAGTAGAATAGCAATTCAGGATTTTTAATGTAGCTAATATTATTTACATAAAAGGTTAAATCTTAAAAGCTTAACTGAGTTTAAAAAAGAGAGGAATACATAATAATTTACAATCACTTTTAATTATTCTAGTTAGCCAAATTTACCTATTTAGCATTAAAAATCAGACTGATAATGCTAACAATACATAATTATTTCATATTTTATAATGGTTAAATGAACAAAAGAGACAAATTGAAGAAAACTTTTGGCTAAAATCAAAAGTTGTTATACTATTATAAAATTCACAAATAATATATGTAACATTTTGTTATTACTACCAACTTTTAATGTTGCAGAAAATAAATGATAATGTGTGTAGTTGGAAAGAAACTTTATTCTAGTTTAAACATGTTCAGTGATCTTTAAAAATACATTAGGAAAGGTGACTCTTGACCCAAAGCACTCATTAACTATTAGTGATTGTCAAAGAAGCATCGATGTATTCCCAGATATCAGAATACTGAATCATTGTTACATAGCATAATATATGAGAAATCAAGTAAAATAAATAATTTAAAAGAACTGACAAAATGACTAAATGTAATTAAATAGCCCAGATAATTCTAAATATGGAAGTTTTTACAAAGGAACCAGCAATCTGAAACCCAGATGTTAAGAGAGGTAATTCAAGTTTATTGAATGTCTGAGAGAATGTGCTAAAGACTTCTTCTTTTATCATTTAATCGGTCTACCATTATCAGAGGTCATTACTCTCATTTACAGAGTAGTTAGCCAAATACTTAACCATGACTTCCATGGAAAATGGAAGTCAACCTTCTCTGACCTGTGGGAAGAGCCAGGCTCAAACCCGCCGGCTCTCTCTAAAGATTTGAGTCCTGTATTAAGCGCTAAATTCTTTCACTGAGAGCTCGTCTGTCCACACTCGATGGTTCACACACCCATGGACATGCCTTATACACAGTTACATAGTTTTAACATTTGCTGAGGTAGTCATGCGTTACTTAATGGGGGTGGAGCGTGTGTCGGGGTTGTGGGGGGACACTTCTGGGAAATGCGTCATTAGGCAATTTCTTTGCCATTGGAACATCATAGAATGTACTTTCACAAACCTCCATGGTATTGCCTCCTACACACCTAGGCTATATGGTATCGCCTACAGCTTCTAGGCTACAAACCTGTAGAGCAAGTTACTGTACTGAATACTGTAGGCAATTATAACATGGTATTTGTGTATATAAACATATCTAAACATAGAAAAGATACAGTAAAAATATGGTATAAAAGATAAAAAAAAAATACAACTATGTAGGGTACATACCATAAATGAAGCTTGCAGGGCTGGAAGTTGCTCCGGGTGAGTCAGTAAGTGGTGAGTGAATGTGAATGCCTAGGGCATAATAAATTAACCTTAGCTTATTGTAACTTTTTTCTTTATGAATTTTTTTTAAACTTTTGACTCTACAATGGTAAGAACATATTAATAGTTTAAAACACAAACATCGTACAGCTGTAGAAAAATATTTTCTTTCTTTATATTCTTACTTTGTACGGTTTTTTCTATTTTTAAGGTTTTTTTCTTTATTTTAATCTTTTTTTTTTTTCTATTTTTTTTTTTCTTTTCTTTTCAGGGGATACATGTGTAAGTTTGTTACGTGGATATATTGTGTGATGCTGAGGCTTGGAGTACCAAATTGATCCTGTCACCCAGGAAGTGAGCATAGTACCCAATAGGTCGTTTTTCAGCCCTTACTCCCTCCCACCCTCTCCCCTCCAGTAGTACTCAGGATCTATTGCTCTCATCTTTATGTTCATACATACCCAGTGTTTTTCTCCCACTAATAAGTGAGAACATGTGGTATTTGCGTTGAAGGAATTTTCCTTAGTTCAGCTAAAGACAAGTCTTTGTCCATCACACAGCCATGAAAATTTAGGCTTGCAGATGGTTGGGGAGGGTGAGTAAAGCAGGGTTTTACTGGGTGAAAAAGAAGTGAGAAACAGGAACTGTCTGCAAGTCCAGGGTTGCCCACTAGAGTGTTTCCTGCCCACGGTTTAAATCCCAGGTTCCACATAGGAAGAGGAGGAGCTAGGTTTCTCCCCTCTGCAAAGGGCTTGAACTTCTGTGTCTCCACCCCAGTAAGGTCAGTTTGAGTATTTCTGGGGATCCCCTCCCACCTGGCTGTCTCATTTGGTTTTCTCTTTCTGCATTAATTTGCTTAGAGTAATGGCCTCCAGATACATTCATGTTGCTGAAAAGGAAATGATTTTTCTGATGGCTGCATAGTATTTCATGCTGTACATGTACCACATTTTCTTTATCCAGTCCAGTGTTGGGGAGCATCTCGATTGATTCCATGTCTTTGCTATTGTGTACAGTGCTGTGATGAACACACGAGTATATGTGTCTTTTTGGTAGAATGATTTATTTTATCTGGGATATTTTATTAGTCCATTCTCACACTGCTAATACATACATACCCTGGACTAGGTAATTTTTAAAGGAAAGAGGTTTAATTGACTCACAGTTCAGCATGGTGGGGGAGGGCTAAGAAGACTTACAATCACAATCGGGGTAGAAGGGGAAGCAAACACATCATTCATGGGGCAGCAGGAAGGAGAAGTGCCAAGCAAAAGGGGGAAAAGCCCCTTATAAAACCATCAGCTCTCATGAGAACTCACTCACTATTCTTAGAAAAGAAAAGCATGATGGTACCCACCCCTATGATTAAATTACCTCCCACTGGGTCCCTCCCATGACACATGGGGATTATGGGAACTATAATTCAAGATGATATTTGGGTGGGGACACAACTAAACCGTATCAGTTATATACCCAGGAATTGGATTGCTTCGTTGAATGATAGTCCTAAATTCTTTGAGGAACCTCCAAACTGCTTTCTTTAGTGGCTGAACTAATTTACATTTCTGTCAACAATGTATAAACATTTCCTTTTCTCCACAACCTCATTAAGATCTGGTATTGTTTGACATTTTAATAATAGCCATTCTGACTGGTGGTGAGATGGTTTCTCGTTGCAGTTTTGATTAGCATTTCTCTGATGATGAGTGATGTTGAGCATTTTTTCATGTTTGCTGGCTACCGGTATGTCTTCCAAGTGTCTGTTTATGTCCTTTGCCCACTTTTTAATATGGTTATTTGTTTTTTGCTTGTTGAGTTGTCTAAGTTCTTCATAAATTCTGGATATTAGACCTTTGTCAGATGCAAAGTGGGCAAATATTTTCTTCCATTCTATAGGTTATCTCTTTATACTGCTGGTAGGTATTTTGTTTTGGTTTTTTGTTTTTGGCTGTGCAGAAGCTCTTTAGTTTAATTGGGTCACATTTGTTAATTTTTGGTTTTTTTGCAATTGCTTTTGAGGACTTAGTCAAATTATTTCCCAAGGCCAGTGTCCAGAATGATATTTCCTAGGCTTTCCTCTAGAATTTTTATAGTTTTAGGTATTACATTTTAAGTCTTTAATCCATCTTAATTTTTGTATATGGTGAGTTTTGTTCTTCTGCATATGACTAGCCAATTATCCCAACACTGTTTTTTGAATACAGAGTCCTTTCCCCATTGTTTGTTTTTGTTGACTTTGTCAAAGATCAGATGGTTGTAGGTAAAAGGCTTTATTTCTGGGTTCTCTATGCTGTTCCATTGTTCTATGTGTCTGTTTTTATACTAGCACCATGCTGTTTTGGTTACTATAGCCCTGTACTATAAAGTCAGCTAATGTGATGCCTCCAACTTTCTTTTGCTTAGGACTGTTTTGGATATTCCAGCACTTTTAAAATTCTATATGAATTTTAAAATAGCTTTTTTTTTGTATTTCTGTGAAAAATTACATTGGTAGTTTGATAGGGATAATAGTGAATCTGTATATTACTTTGCACAACATGGCCATTTTAAGGATATTGTTTCTTCCAATCCATGAGTATGGAATGCTTTCCCATTATTTCTTTCCTGTGATTTCTTTCAGCAGTTCTTTTAAAAATTTTGTCAAAAACTAGGACACAAATTAGGCCTGCACAGAGTCAAGAGCATCAATGTCACTGTTTTCTACCTGTACATTTTGTCCCACAGGAAGGCATTCTGGGGCAGTAACATGCATAGAGTTATCTTCTTCTAGAATAACAATGCCTTCTCCTGGAATACCTCCGTAAAGGTCTTGTCTGAAACTGCTTTACAGTTAACTTTTATGTAAGTAGGAGAAGGACACTAAAATAATGATAAAAATATATAATATAGTAAATATATAAACCAGTAACACAGTGCCTTATTATTATCAAGCATTATGTACTGTATGTAATTATTTGTGCTATACTTTTATACAATTGGCAGCCACAGTAAGTTGGTTTATACCAGCATACCACAAACATGAGTTATGCATTGTGCTAGTGCTTTACAATGGCTATAAAGTCATTAGGCCAATAGCAATTTTTCAGCTCCACCATAATCTTACGGGCCCACCATCTTATATGCAAACCATAGTTGACCAAAACATCATTATGTGGTACATGACTTTATTCCAAAAAACCTCATAGTGGAGGTAGGTCAGTTTCTATGGTATTTGTGGTGGAAAGATAAACAAGTTAAAACAACAGCAATAAAACAATTTGTGGAGAAGGACCCTGCTTCTCCACAAATGTCTTTTGCTTTATTACATGAAATCATTAATTTTTGTATCCTGACTTCATTGGAAACAGATTAATTAGGATTCCTAATGTTTTAAAAAAGTAAAAGTAAAAATAACAAAATAATCTCAAGTCTTTATAAATTTTTAACTCTGAATCAGGAAGAAACTGACAGCCGATGTGTCTCAGCACACTGTCAATTAACAATCAAAAAGATAAAAAGATCTTAAAAAGTAACAGCATAATGATTAGGTACTAAGCAATTAGTTGTGTCTAAAAAAATTATGGACAGCAAAATAAAATATTATTCAAAACAAACCACCCAGGAATCCTGGCTAAAATGATTGCATGAATTTGTTATGGATAGTTTTATAACTGATATTAGTATCCACATAAGGCAATGATCAGTAATAACAATCTGTTTGTGATAAATAATAGGGGCTAGAGATTGATATTCCACAACTGAATTAAATATTTGAAACTTGAAATTTAAGTTCTCCCTGTGATTTTGTTAATATGTTAAACATTTACCATATTACAACTAGAAGTTTTCACAATGAATCCAAAATGCTTTTTCCAGAGTACCTATAATTAATTTTCATCTTAAATTAATTACTTTGCATTAAATGTGACTGTGGAAATACATTTGGCATATTTTTCTTATCTCTGGACAAGTCATGAATTAATTTGCAAAGGAAAAAAAATCCATTCTATTCTGGTTATTTTAGCTATCAATTGTCAACAATATATTATCTAAAATATCAAGATGCCAATGAAAAAATTAATACGGGGTGATTTCGGGCAGGTTTTGATGGGTATTGTTTAATTTCACACATTTTATCTTATTTATGTTTTCTAAAATAACTATAAATATATCCAAGTTATATTTCATATTTATTCAATAATAAAACTATATCTAAGTTACTTATTACAGTGTGCCAAGAAAAGACAACCTCTGTGTAGCACACACCCCTACATAGAAACTACACTATTTTCTCAAGTATTGTAGCCTTCTCTAATGGCTTAGTTCATTCAGGCTGCTATAACACAATATCATAGACTGAGTGACTTACAAAAAAACAGCAATGTATTTCTCACAGTTCTGGAGGATGGGAAGTCTAAGATCAAGGATTCTGCAGACAAAGTGTCTGATGAAGAACTGCTTCCAGGTTCACGGACAACTGTCTTCTTCCTGTGTCCTCACATGGTGGAGGGATAAAGCAATTCTCTGGGCCTCTTTTATAAGGGCAATAATTACACTCATGAGGACTGCACCCTTGTGACCTAATCACCCTACTAAAGCCCCATCTCCTAATGTCAGCACATTTGGATTTAGGATTTCAACATATAAATTTTTGGGAAATACTTTGAGTATATAGCACCTAATTAGACAGAAATTGCAATAATGGGAGGTTGGCTGTCATAAATCTTTGGAAGAAATTATTTTCAATATTTACCATCATTCAGCCTGATAAAACAAACAAACAAACAAACAAACAAAAAACATGGCATGTATTCATGTTTTTCAACATATGTAGAGTTTGAAGAAATAATCTTGGAGACAAAAAATTGAAAGAATAAAAATTTGATTTGCTATTTGAATTCTGCTATAGAAACAACATTTTTAGAGACACGTAATTGTGTCTCTAAAAAGTCTCAAATGTAACTTTTTTATTAACTGTCTTTCAGTATTTGAAATATAAAAACTAAACATAGATAGAGTGTGGGCCATTCTACTCCAATTGTATTCTATTTTTATCTCTAGGACCAGTAAGCCCATGGGCAGTTTTTATGAGAAATAAAAATCTGAAATCTCAAAACTAAAGGCCCAGGAAAAGACTTCTCTAAGTCTTGGAAAGGTGGTGCTTTCCCAAAGCCATTCTAGCCTAGAAGAAGCAGCGAAGAAAATTGGTTTGGAGATTGCAGTACCTGCTTCTAAATCTCAGCAGCACTTCCTGACTTGCAAGCCAAAGCCCTGAAAGCATTTTAGAATAGAAGGCATTTATTTTTCAACAAGTCAGCAGCTCCTAACAAACATCCACCTATGCACGCAGCCTTTAGGCTACATCTAAAGTATTCATGAGTTTCCTAACTTGCTGATAGCAAAGCTTCTCTGTTCCCAGGTTTCCAGTATGGACACATTCAACTGCTCCTTGAGAGTGAGTCTTTTTAATTGCCTCCAATACTTCATCAATAGACAATGTTTTTCAAAAGCCAGGAAAAAAAAAGAAAGAAAATAACTTCACACAATCTTTGTGAGATGTATAACAAAGCCTGATAGATTAATTTTTCTAAACAAGATACAGAGCTGGTTACAAATTTCATTTCTGGCTATAAAATTTTAGAAATAATCATTTGAAAATAATAAAATTACATACTTTAAAGTGATACAATGCAAATTTTACACAGACTGGGCAACAGATCTCATTTTGGGGAATCATAATAATTAATATTTTCTTAAATATATTGTCTTAATAAAGGAAATTATATGTTATTCTAGTGTTCTAGATGCAGTATTGGTATTATTTTGTCATGCAGCCAATTAGCTGTAGGCATATGACCAATTACCTACAAACCCAGTGACTTCTGACAGGTTTTTAAATACATAATACGCCCAAAAAAAGGGTTAGACGATAGACTGTCCCAAATTATCACATTATTTTGCATAAGTCCAGGAGTGGAGGAAACAGAAAAAAAAAAAAAACGTTTCCTAGATATTTGTTGCATTTTCTCTGCTGCAAGGTTTCCCAAGTTTTGCATTATAGACCATTTCAGTCTCATCATTATTTGCTGTGTTGAACTATCCTATGTTTCACTGGATGTTTCCCATAAATCCGTGGCCTCAATTCATCGGAGGCCAGTATCACTCTTCCTAAGATGATGACAACCAAAAACATCTCAAATATTTCCAGAGGGTGCCAGATGTCACCAGGTAAGAGTGGAGAGTCAAAATCATCCCAAACTGAGAAACACTGTTCTAGTGAGTAGACACCTAAGGGCCAAAGTAGATCAAAGTAGAAAAAAACCCCACAGTTCTGTGTACTTAAATTGCAGAGCATATTGATTCTGCAATCTACTGAATAACAAACTAGTACTTGAAATTATTTAATTATTTTTAGAGTCAAGGTATATAATGTACATCATGAAATTAAAACCAATTACAAGACTTTGTGCCAACTCTTAATTAAGCAGGAATCATATATGGAGATGAACTATGAAAATTATCTGTTAATTTTATTTTTGTAATTTTAGATCAATTACTGCCAAATCATTACAATCGGATCTCCGTTATATTTCCTAGTTCACTTTCTTACTGAGGTGCTTATGAATGTCACAGTCCCAAGAAAAGACTAAATAGGAAAAGCCAGGGCAAATCTTACAGTCAGTCCTTAGTCAAGGAATAGCAGGAAGCTGCTTGTGCTTTGGTAAATTTCCATGAATTACATACACATATATTTGAGCAAATGTAGATCAAAAATCCAGTTAACTGGTTGCCTAACAGGTTGAATTTATATACTGATTGATAATTCAGAAGATAATTTTTCTCTAACCTACTTATTTTTAGAAGATAAAACCTCTCTAACAATATCTAAAGACAGTATTCTTAAAATATATTCCATGATCCCAAAGGCAACTATAGTAGGGTATAAAGAAATCTGAATTTACATATGAGTCAGTATATTACATAAATGTTTTGTGGGTTTATGCAGAAGTCACTTATATGTGCTGAGGATAAAGAATGGGAAAAGTTCTTTTTGTTACATTCTCTAAGAAATATGTCATTCCCAAATTCATAAACCCCTACCGCTGTGCTAATTATGTTTTTAATATAAGATCAAAACAAATATGGTAATATAGCAGAGCAGTGCAGAAACATTTCAATCTGTCATTTTGCTTTTATGTGATTAAAAACAACAAAAGTACAAAAAGAAAAAATTAAAGTTAATAATTTGGATGTTTTCAACTAGTTTCAAATACCTGATCATTTAGATTAAGTAGATTCTGCCTGTTATATTTGAGTATTTTAAACATAACTTCATACAAAATCTATTTCTAAAATGTAATAAATTAACAAATATATTAAAATATGGTATACTCTTTCTAGCATTTCTGCACAATATGGATTTAACTTAATCTAGTTTTATTTGGACTTAAGATATTTAAGAGTTTTGTTCCCTAAGTCCTACTCTTTTTACTAATATAAAACAAAACAAAAAAAAATCCTTTGCAAACAACCTCCTTCTAACTTTTTAAATGACATACTATTCTTTAGAGGTTTAGAAATTCAATTGTCCTTGACTGCTACAGCTAGTAGCTTAGAATATTTACTTGAAATATGCAATTGCTTGTATGTTGCTCATTTTTCACTCTTTCCTTTTAGCAGAATGACAATTTCTTATACCCATCATTTAAATCTAATGTGTTGATCTCTTTGTTCACATTCTTCTTTTGTACCTATATGTTATAAAATAAAATTGTCAAAAGTACCTGCCATCATATTCATCTCTAACCAATTTTTATAATCTTATCTCCTGCCATTTACTATCACACTGTCCTTGAATAGCTGTAAGTTTTAATTTTCTGAGTCTTTGCACATATTGTTTCTTCTGGAAAACATCCATTTCTCAAGGATAACATTAAGTGCCATCTTCTTACTGTGCAGAGAGAGAGTTGGTCCTTGCTGATATCCCCACGGCCTCATCAAGCTGCTTCCATTACATCTATCAGTGAAAGGATTTTCTCATTAACCTCTTTAGATATCTTATCCAAACGATTTTTCTATGCTTAGTATGTAAAACACAACCTGGCATATACATTGTGATCACTAAATCTTAATAACAGAAAGAATAAATGACCATGGAAGTGGCTAATAAAATCACATACAGCCTTGATAATTACTGGGTCTTTAACTTACTTCCAAGAGTAATATGAAATCATTACAAATTATTAATAGTATAAGTTAAAACATTTACCTGTGTAATTTGGAAGGCAATTACCAGGAAATTGAAGTCTGACTGAGAGAGAAAAGTTAAATTGGAGGGTTTGGCAAAAATCTAGGCAAAATGTAATAAAAGATAGGATTAGGTCAATGTTAGTAGCCGTGAGAACAAGAGAATAGAGAAACAGTGTGTTTTTGTCCTATAATAATCTGGGAAGTGCAGTGTACACTTAGTACATATTAGTATATATAAATAGTATACATATTACATACTATTATATACACTATATACTATATATTAGTATGGTATACTATATACTATATATTAGTATGGTATACTATATATTAGTATATACTATACTATATATTAGCATGGTATACTATATACTAATATACAGTATACTATATTATATATACTAATATAATGTACCATATATTAGTTTAGTATACTATGTACCATATATTAGTATAGTATAGTATGTACCATGTATTAGTATAGTATAGTATGTACCATGTATTAGTATAGTATACTATGTACCATATATTAATATAGTATACTATATACCATATATTAGTATAGTATACTATATTAGTATAATTATTAATATATTATATAATGAATATAGTATATATTAATAGTATATAGTATATATTAATAGCCATTTAATATATATAATTATCGATAGTGGTGATTAAGAATTATAATTATGTATATAACATAATGTTTAACACAAGCCAGATATGAAATTAAATGGCCTGCATACTTTATTTCATTTAATTTTAAGCAATTTTGTGCAGTAAGCATCAATAATCTTATTTTATAAATTAAACCAATTATTATAGGTCAGTAGTTAATGTTAGAACTAAAATCAATTGCAAGTCTATCTCTTGATCTGAAATATCTGTTGTGAGACACTTAGTAAGTTTAATGAAAGCAAATTAGATTTTGATTAGGTGTGGATAATATATAGAAGACAGATAATTTCCTAATTTTTAATCCAATATTATAGAATGTCTACTTTAAGCTATTCTCCCAGCCACATCATATATTTTTAAGCTCCAGTGTTTCTGATAATTTTTTAACTTGCTGTTTTCACTCTATTGGGAAATCCTAGCTCATTTACAGTAAAATATTTACAGTAACTAAGCATAGTGAATGAGCAAAGTAATACTCCTTAAATGATAAGGCAGTGAGTCATAGATGTTGGGAATTTGGAAAGAACAAGAAATATACTGTATGACAATTAGAAACCTTAAAGATCAGGATGCTAAATTGCTGCACTTCATCCCACAAGATGAAATATATGAAGGACTTTGCATATATAAAAGATAATGATAGGAATTAAAGGTATTGCAAGTGAGAAATCATTAACTGAACATATGTTAAATATTAAGTAAACAGTCGGAGGCAACTATCAAATGTAAGGCTGAGAATATTGTAAACATATATCTCAGTGTGTGGAGGACAGTTCCTTTTATGCCTGTTGTACTAGTGCTTTATTCAGATCAAACTTTGTTGAAGATTTTTTAGTTTCTAAGGAAATGCTATTATTAGTAGTTTTATTGATATAAGCCAGATGTGTTTAAGAACTTCCACTTTGACTTCCAGTTTCTGCTATGATCTCATTTTGTGAGGAGCATGTGTTTATTTTTGTATGTTCTTAAATCTAAAATGTATCACAAAATAACTCATCTTTTTTTTTTCCCTGCTGCCTTCCAGATATGATGTAGTTAACACTTCCCATTTGAGGACAGTCTTCAGGGTGCTTGCTACTAAGAGAAATGTTCTTAGATAGGAGCAGTAAGGAAAACTAACTCATTCTGGTTATAATGTTAGTGGGAGCAGGTTTAAATATTGCTGCCAGTTATGCCATGGTCCAAGTTGCAGAATGTGAGTTGCATGAAGCAATCAGTCCACAGTAAACAGGTTAGCTGGGAAACAGGGTAAAGTATAGGTTTAGTGTGTATAAAATATTTATGGGAAATAGAAGCTTCTATTCAGAGACAAATCCGAATGCTTTTTTAAAATTTATTTATTTGTTATATGGTGTTAATCTATACTTATTTTTATAGTAATGCAATTATTTTTATTTTATAATAAAATATTTTGACAGCATATCAATAAACTAAAAAATGAAAGTGCATGTCTCATGAAAAATTACTATCCAAATTTCTATTTCTCAAAGTTGATGGCATGTATCTTACACATTTTGGGGATCTACGAATATCATGGATTACATGAAAAACAGACATCTGAAGTTGTTTCAGCATCTACTTCAAAATGTGTTACTTATATTAAAAAATAATATATAAATGGCAATAATTTAACATGCACACTTGAAAAATGTGCATTTATATATAGCCCTGTGAAGCATGACTTTTCATTTAGATCAAATGATTTATTTTCAATTTTCAATTCGTTTTACTTTAGGATATGTGAGTATGAGTGCTTATAAAAGTTTAAAAGAAAATAGTAGATGTTGATCTTAATGTGCTTGCTACTTTAAAAGAAAAAGAATGGCTGGGCGTGGTGGCTCACGCCTGTAACCCCAGCACTTTGGGAGGCTGAGGCGGGCAGAACTCAAGGTCAGGAGATCGAGACCATCCTGGCTAACATGGTGAAACCCCGTCTCTACTAAAAATACAAAAATTTAGCCTAGTGTGGTGGCATGCACCTGTAGTCTCAGCTCCTTGGGAGGCTGAAGCAGGAGAATTGCTTGAACCCGGGAGGCGGAGGTTGCAGGGAGCTGAGGTTGTGCCACTGCACTCCAGCCTGGGTGACTGAGCAAGACTCCATCTCAAAAAAACAAAACAAAACCAAAAAACCAAAACATTTTGAAGTTAAATTATACCAGATCCACATCAATGTATATATATTCATGCATCATAAAACAACTTTATGCATACCTAAATGGGACATATTTAGAACATACATCTAGAATAGCATAAAGCAGGTCAGTATATATTACCCTTAAATCTACCATTTTATTTGTAGGAAGAGTATATGATTTCCACAGGGAACATAATGACAGTTATTCTTTAAATATAGCTGGCACATATTCAGTGTTCTGCATTCAAACTCAGGTAAAATTACATTTTAAAAACATTGGTGATATTAAAAAATATATTTTTAAGCCACTGGCTAATTGTGTCTGGGTCTCAATTCTTCAATTGCATTGGGTAAATAAATCACAAATAATCAGGTATATCACAACAAATGATTTTGGTAAATAACCCGTAGGATGAAATATAAAATTTTAGAGTTGATTTTTAAAAATTATGAACTGTAATTGACTATATACACTTAATATATTTTTTGAATATAATCAACTATAGATATCTTTAGATGAATTGAATAATTGATATGCTGTCATATATGATTTTTTTGGAATAACAAAAAAGTTCCTATGCAAAATTATATATTTATTATATTTGTTTACAAATATTTAAGTTTAATATTTAATAGTCAAATTCTTAAAACAAGTGCAATTTAAATATTAAAGTTTTAAATCAAAGGATAAAGTTAATTTCTAAGAAAATATATAGTTATGAATTTCAGCTTTCACTAATTAAATATATATAAATATAAAATGAGTTGCATTTATTCGAAGTATTGAAGGTTTAACAAAAGCAAAGATATGTTTAAAGTCTTTCAAAACAGTTAGGATTGCTTAAGTCATTTTCCATGATAATAAAGCCCTGATTTTCTAAAAATAATTGTTTCTATTGTCTCAGAATGACAAGCCAATTAGACAGAAGGTGATACATCCACTGTCTCACATGAGTGTTCCCATCACCAATACCTATTCATAATACCACTCAATGAATTAACCTTTCAAATATGCAAATACATTTTCTGCAAAATGTTCCCAAATAATGAAAAAATGTAAAACTTCACTGGCCTTTGTTATTGGCTTTCATAAGGATAAAACTTTTCTTAGCTTCTATTAGTTTTGAGTATAGCACAGAATCACCAAGGAAAAAAATTTATTGAAATCCAATTATAATCATTTCACAGTTTCAATCCAAATTCATAACTAAAACAACAAGAAAAATATTGACTCATCTTCAAGATGTTCTTCTATCCAAATAAAAGATTATAATGGCCTGGAAATGTGAATTGTGTGTTTCAAGCTTCATGTAGTCTACCTAGGTCCTATACTGAGCGTGCTGGGTTTTGTACTTGGTGATCAGTAAGAAAAGAAGGCATTGTTGATTTGAGTACACTTAATCGAAGAGAGTCATTTTTACCAGGAGTGTTTAAAAACCATTTCTGTGGAGAAGTAACTATTCTTGCTCAGTGTGAAGAAAACATATAACATTGGATTTTTGACAGAATTTAATTCTTGCCATAAATATTGGCTTCCAATCCATGTTAACATACATAATATTAATTCATAGCCCTCTAGCTAAATCCATATTGTAAACTATTTTGCGTTGGTATGTTTTTAAAGAAAATCTTTTATTTACTGTATATCGTAGATTTGGATGGAATTGTTTTATTCAAAATATATTAAAATTTTTGACAAATGCAAGTTTTCTTTTCACAAGCCAATGTTATACCTGAGGAGATAAGGATTATAAGTATTTAGCTATTTTCTATTAACTTGTGTTGACGTTTCTCAGAAACACAATTAGACAATTTATAATTGGCCTCATTTTCCCGTAGGCTTTGATATTATACTTGGTAATTTATTAAGAACTAGAGAGATCATGCTCAATATAAATTTTACCTGTCTACACAAAAATTTCCTAGTTCTGATATAAAATTATTGAGGATCATAAGTTGATTTAAACAGGAGAATGCATGAAAATCTTTGTGCCTTTCAAATACATGATTTATTAGGTCATTTGGTTAGAGGGGGAAAGGTAAAAATGATAACCTAATTCTGAAATTAGAAACTCAATGCTACTTCCTATTGTCTGTCTGTTTTGGGAGCCAGGTCATTCACATGTGTCATCCACCAAGGTCCCGTATCTTCCTTCAGTGAATTCTGTTGCCGGGTAGGATTAAATTTCATTAGTATTATGCAGAGCTACAAGGTGTCACCAGCTGGTACAAATGACCAGTTTCAACTTTTGAATCACATTTACAATAAATATTTAACAATGCAGAAAGTACATTTTTCACAAATTAGTTATAAATTACCTATTTGGAATTTTTTTTAATTTTTTTTCCTGAAACTCAACCACTACTCACTAAACCCCATATACAGTGGAATAATGATATGTTCTCCAGCAAGAACAGGTCGTAATATTATTTTTAGTGTCAGAAACTCTTCATAATATCCAGTAGAAATAAACAGAGGTATACTGTTCTATACTTTTCAAATTATTCACTTTTGTGTGATCAGAGTACATGACTTAATTTATAAAGAGTAAACTAGAGTGTTTGCTTAGGTGACTAATTTGAAGTAAAGTGTATTATGTAATTGGGTACAGGCAATTGGAGTCATGAAATTTGACAACCGTTCTGTTATAAAAATTTTGTGTAAATACAGATCATTCTAAAACAAGATTCCTAACGTTTGAAAAATAAAAAGTACAGGATGTTTATATTACTTGCACTTACTAAAGGCATATACCACTTCTGGCAAATGTGACCATAAGCAGATGGTCTTGATGTTCTTTCACTTAGCCTAATGTCAAAAGAAACTAAAGTGTAAACTATGTGAACCATTAGCTTTTGAAGACCTGATTTTCAAAAAGAGAACAAATCTTAGAACAAATCTAAATAGGTAATTAGATTAAGAAAAAATAAACATAATAATTGGATTCGTAATAATTTTATGTCTAGTTTGTCTTTCAGGTAAAACCGCAGAGATGGCGGCCACCCATTCCCCTGGGAACTCAGTTCATCTCAAGCAGTCTCCAGCCTGCTGCCACCGGCTGGCTGGAATTCCAAGCCAGTGGGTCTTAACTTGTGACGTACCAGGGGAGTGGGGCCCACAGAATGAGGCTGCTTGGCTCCCTGGATTCAGCCCCATTCCTAGGCGAATGCATAGATAAATCTCCTGCCTCACTAGAATTCCCAGGGCCGAGTGGTCACTTCCCCAAGTGTCTGCGCAGCTATCTGCTTCGGACCCAAGGCCCTGGTGGTGTGGACTCACGAGGGTATCTTGTGATCTGCAGGTTGCAAATATCCAGGGGAAAAGTGTGGTTTCCTGGGTGGGGCCGCACACTCACTCACCGCTTCTGCTGGCTGGGAGTGAGGGGTCCCCATGGGTCAAGCCATCCACTTAGTAAGTCCCAATGCGGAACCTGGATATTTCAGTTGAAGGTGCAGATTTCACTTGCCATTTTCATTCATCTCCATGAGAGCCAGGGACCATAGCTGCTTCTAATCGGCCATCTTGGCCCCCTCCCTCCAATAGTTTTAATGAATTTAGGATTCCTCACTGTATTCATTAGTTATAGCTCACAAATCATGTAGCAATGGGAGTGAAAAAAATGAACAATCATGAGGACATGAAAAAGAGGGGCAAATCATGCTATTTGACTTATATAAAATAATTTTTGGCATATAATAAAATGTAAAAGATTTTAAATAAAATCTAATGTCAGCCACCGGTATCAATTGTGGAGAAAGGAGATGGGACTTCTGCTTTAAAAGCAGAAAACAAAAACTTTCACTTTTGACATAACATTTACATGCCGTATTAAATTCAGTAAGTTAATCAATCTATGGGGCCTCTGTTCATTTACTGTAAAGAGTGCATTTTAATGCAAACCTTTTCAGGGCTATTAAAGAAGATACACAAAATACCTGGTTCATAGTTATTACTGAATAAACAATACATGTGAAAGGACTGGTAAATGATTATTTTGTTTGTTTGCTTGATTTTTATGATTGTACAAGACAGAATAGATGAAAGTACCTGGCATGTCTGGTACTTGACATGAGAGATATTTGTGTAGATATTTTTAAAATATTAATTTCCAGTTCATTTTCAGATGAAAGGAATTTATTCTTGGTCTACAGATACTCAGCATCTTTATTTGCAATAAAGTTATATGTTTCAATCAGATTCCTAACAACACAGCATCAAGTTGTTCAATGTGGAAATTAGTAGCCCTGACCTATAGTGCCCTGTGCAACTGTATTTTTTTTTAATTTGTTTGGTAAATGGTTTTCCCTAGACTACAACTGGAACTTGTAAAGTGGACTCATCCAACTGATGGTGTGAGAATTATTTGCCACATTTTTTTTTTCTTTAACAGAATCTAGTTAAGTTTTTAGCCTATCTCAGAGACCCAGATTTATTATTTGCTTCAAAGTAAGTGTTTAAACAGAGGAGAAGGACTAAAGCATGTGCTTTTTGCACAGTGGTGGTTTTTTGTGGGTGATGTGCCTTTTTACTTGGTTTCATCTCTATTATAAAAGTAGAAACTAGGGAAATAACTTCCTCTCAGTCATGAGATGCAGTACATTTGTAAATCTTTATCTCAGATCAGCTATGAAAACAAGTACATCTTTTAGGGGAATGCAATTAAATCTTATCCTTAAAAATATGTATCTCAAAGCCATAGGGGAAAAGTTTTGCTATGCAACTTATTTTGGAATTTTTTTTACTTTTAAAAACTGACCAAGTATAAATATAAATTTTAAAGGAGCATACCAAAATATAATAAATCTGGAATCTGTGAGTAACATAGCTATCAATTTTGTCTATTTTTACCTAGAATTTCCCTTTTTGGTTCTACTGTTAATGGGCTGTCTTCTGTTACTTAATAAATGACATTAGCTGTACCTAAGTCCACCCATAATACTGAATCTTTTCTTATGAATATAGTTCCAGTATATGCATACTACTTTTAAATTTCCCCTTATTTCTATAATGACAAAATGTTTATTTGGAGTAAGTCTCAGCACTTTAATTAATTTTTAATCATTTAATTTTGGTAAAAATTAAGTTTCATAAGCAGCCATCACATTTATGTCAGTGATAACAAATAACATTCTTATGGCATTTGCATAGTCATTAATGGACTAATATTTGGTTGAAAATAGAGCATATTTAAGAAAAATTGGTTATTTTCTCAAAGATATTTGAAGTAGAAAGGCAAGTATCACAAAAGGACAAAACGAATGAAATGCCTGTTCAATCTTGTCTTTGGAAAAATGTAATTTTCAAAGGGCTTCTTGAAACACTGAATATCTGAACATTTTAATGTTGTGTTTGGAAACTGATGCTAAAACCCAAGATTCAAGTGGTATTTTAGAAAAAAATAATTTGATGCCAGAGGACAAGAAAGATTGTTGATAAAGAAACTAATTAGGAGGCCTTAACATCCTTGAAGGGTAAAGGCACAGGTTAGCAAAAGCTTGAGCAAAGGTGATTCTGTATAAATGGAAATTAAAAGATGGATATCAAAAATAAGCCTCATCAGGCTTGTGGAATAAAGAGATACTGTTTCAAAGCTGTTAGAAATCTTAAAGCTTAAACTGGGTATTTTAATCTTGCTGAGTAGAACAGTTGTGGTAATATTAACAGAAGTAGAGCAGTCAGAGAGATAGCTAGTTTTCAAACTGGTGAATGGGTTTTAAGATTCATAAATTAGGAACCAAACAATATTGGTTGTAAAGTGATTAAATTACTACTGTAATTTACTAATACAAGTATTGTAAATTACTAATAACAGATTGATCAAGCTGATTTAGGAGCAAAGGTATACAGAGATTTATTCATATTACATACTCAATGCCATGATGTTCTAGGATTATAGATTCATTTTGGTTTTCACTTCAGACCTTTACCAGTTTTGCTAAAAGGAGTTGTGAATTCTTCTCTGGGTGCCTCACTACACAGAACCAGGATACTGATTGCAGCCAAGAGAACATGATTTACAGATAGAGTGGATTTACACAAAGAGCTATCAAGTTAGAAAAAAAAAAAAAGGTAAGCCGTTTTAACTGTGTGTAAAAAGTAAGGCAGCCAGCCAAAATTTTGTAAAGTGTATTGGAGGGTAACAAAGAATCTCATAGAGGACAACTGATAAAGAATCAATACTCCATGAACTTTGTGCAGGTGCAAAGGAAATTATGATTTTTTCTTATTAGAAATAAAAGCTTTGAAGCAAGCAGTGGACATCCCAGCATGGTTGAGTTAGACAAAAGAAGAATAGGACCTGAATAAAGAGATTCACACTGATTCACATTAGGGTGGACCCATACAGAATTTTGAACCAGATCGTTTAGTATCTTGGTTTCCAGTTTCTAACAGAAATAACAAAAAATTTGACTTGATGTTGCAACTTGCTTACAAATATTCTCCTTAGGATGTTATGCCCTGTGCTAAGAGCTATTGTATTCAGTCACTGATAATATATAAAAAATGTAATCATGCCTGGCACATGAAAGCAGGCGTCCAAGCGCAGTGAGTCTTTTAGAAACATTCTGCCTAGAAAGTGGTTATTAGAGACATTAGTGGCCATGTTAAGTCATATCCATTGGGAAGACAGCACTCCATATGACACTCAAAGTAAAGAGTGAAGCAAACGGCTGGGTGTGGTGGTTCACACCTGTAATCCCAGCACTTTGAGAGGCTGAGGTGGGTGGATCATGAGGTCAAGAGATCAAGACCATCCTGGCCAACAGGGTGAAACCCCGTCTCTACTAAAAATACAAAAGTTAGCCGGGCATGGTGGTGCACGCCTGTAGTCCCAGCTACTTGGGAGGCTGGGGCAGGAGACTGGCTTGAACCTGGGAAGCATAGGTTGCAGTGAGCTCAGATCGCGCCACAGCACTCACTCCAGCCTGGCATCAAAGCGAGACTCCGTCTCAAAAACAAAATAAAAAAAAAATTAAAATAAATACATGTGAAGCAAACCTGGGGACTTGAGGAAATAATATTTAAAACATCTAATAATTATTAATCACTTTATGAATACAACAAACGTTCAAATCACCTATTTATAATATTGAATTTAAACCTAACAGCAAATAGATGTGGATCTTGTTATAACGTTTGCTTTACAGATAAAAAAAGAGACGTGAAAATGTGTGATATGTTCAAGTTCCCAAAGAAAAAATAAGGTGAAGCAGGATTGAACTCACTTGTATCAAATCTAAAATCTTACTGAATAAATTAATAAATTTTCTCACAAGGTGAGGTTTTCTTTAGGTTATTACAAGTTCTTTGCATATGTCTTCACAGATATATCTGTATTAAATGTTATTATTTATTGAGTTGTTAAGAGTTCATCAGGATTCACAATAACAACTCTATTACACAATAATATAATTATATTATACATAAATCCTAGATTCCATAAAATTAAAAACAATCATGCTCTAATGAAAATAAATATTTGGGCATAATTCAGAATCTCTTTTTTCCTTTTCTTTTGATAAAGTTAGCCCTGAGATTGATGATAAAGAAGTTTTGAGGTTGAGAGATGGAAATCATAGCATAATTTTAATAGAGAAAACATGGTATGAAATTCATACTAGCCACTACTATTTACATCTATTGTTGAAATACTCTATAACTCATATTATAAATGCTCATATTCATGGCCCTTAATTTGAATGCATACCCTTTTAAAATTTTACTGTAAATTTTACTATAAAGAGCAATTTCTTCTAACTAATGGAAGATGCATAAAGGGACATACAGTTTATGGAATCTTTTTCCCCAACATTACAATTCACCCAAATTCACATTATTAACAAGAATTGTTCAACACTATTTCTCTAAAGTATTCTGCACACTAAGCAGTTATTGTCACAGTTTAAAACTTGTGATTGCTGCAAAAGAGATGGGAAAAAAAATCCCTTGGCTTTACTTGACAGATAAAAGTAAATAAGGGCAAAATTCTAAAATAACCGGCTATCAAATCATCTGGGTCTGGGAATTTCAATGAACTGGACACAGAACAAGTCACCTCAGTGATAATGGTGAGAAAATACCTGGGGGGATTCACAAAAAGGGGTTTCAATTACAGATTAGTTCTGCATAATAATAGTGAATGATTCTTAGCCTTTGTCATAGAAAATAGGTTGGTTTCCAGATTACCTAAGGATGTAACAGAGAACTCCAGAGGACAGATGGGGATCCTGAAGAAAAACAGAAAGGAAAAGAAACAAAAAAAGAAACTGTACAGTCTCATGGACATTTTGGTGATACCTTTCATAATATGAATAGAGGCTTAGTGAGACAATGAATAGGCTAACAGAAATTCTAACCATTTCCAGTTGTCCAGAAGTGGCAAATTTCCAAGAGGTCTCTTAAGATAAACACTAAAGTGCACGAAGAGTAGACAAACCTAGGCTACCTTAACACTGCAGCTTGGGGCATTCTTTATTTTACACATATTGCACAACGTTCCAGGCTGTTCGATATCAATAGTAGTAATTTAGTACCTATAAATGTATTTATCATTTATTATATGATTTTCTTGTTTGCATTTTCAACAAGGAAGGCCGCACAGCTAAATTCTTTACTTGCAATACAGTCTAACAATTTAAATTTGTATGTAATAAAAATGTAATATTATGTTATGTTGTCTTGAGTGTGTATATGCTGTTACTGGTAATAGATGAAAAACTTCTATGAATCTACGTTTTTGTAAATCACTGATTTAGCAAATATTTATTATGTACCTATTATATTTGAGGCACATACTAGGAAAATATGAGATTTTAAATATGACATGATTGCTCACTTCTTTCTAATCCTTATGATTTCTATGGTAATATCTTTAATATTTTAATATTTAATAACTTGCAAATCCACCTTCTTCTACCAAAACACATATATGTTCCATGTGTTTTATGTGGGTATAAGCCTACTATATTAAGCTCAATAAGTATTTTAAAAATGAAAATTATGTATTGTAATTTTACATTAATAATTTGTATCTAAAACAATGTTTTATCCTTGGAATGCATCTAACACTCTGATAATGTCTGTAAATTATCTAATAATTAGTTTTAAAAGGTAATTTCTCCATATTGTCTCTTCCTTTCCTGATTCTTATAATTGTTAAACCTTTATGGAATATGTAAGGTTTTTTTGTTTCATATACTTCCTTTTAGCCACATGGAAAATAAATGCTCCTGTATGAGTGAAGGATAAATGCTGTTATCCAAGAGGATGCAGTTCCTGAGGACATACATGATGGATTAAAAAATTAAAACGATTTGGTAGCAACACTCCCACTGCAGCTCACTGAAGCATCTTCTTGCTCTTGTTTGTAATTTGAATCACTTTTTGCTTAATAAAGTCTATCCAGTAATACGGGTTTGGAGGTGGCTCCCACTGGAAAAGACAGCCTCATGCTCAAATAATAGAACAAAGTGGCAACTAAAATATAGGAGGGACTGAGTGGCTGTGTTCAACATCCTTCTTTTATCTTTCAGCAAATAAAGTGATTTTTCCCCTTGGTGTGTGTGTGTGTGTGTGTGTGTGTGTGTGTGCAGCTTTTAGTCTATAGCCGTCTTCAACATCAGCTCAGTAGGAATCGGAAGGCTAACAGAAGAATGCAGCCTAGATTTGCACATAGGCCAAGATGACTTTTTCCCCATATTGATAGTCTAAGTTATTATACTTTGGAGGATATGTGGATTGTCTTGCTTAAAATTCTTTCAACCTTCTTTCTAGTTTGTTTTTCTCTAATGCAAAATTGACTGGAACACTAAAATAGTCATTTCCCAGAGGCCCTTGAAATAAACCTGTACGTGATTTAGATTTTGCCAAATTACTGCTGTCACTGAAAACTTAAATTAAAACTGCGTTTTATTTGGGAAATAGATGGAGTGGAAGATAAATGTATCCAATATGTGGATCAGCTAAGAAAGAAAAGGCAAAAATCTAGAGTTAGATGCTGAAGAGGCAGCTTCTAGTCACCCTGCAATTGTTTGGCCCTAGCAGGAGCAGTGGCATTTTTGGCATCATGGCAGATACTGAGATATCGGGGTTTGTTCCTGAAGTCCAGGCTAACATCTCTCTCTCCATCTCTCCCAATTATTCAGTATTTTTGTAAGTCTATATTAAATTCCTTTACAATCAAACTATCTAGAGTATACTTCATTCTCAGCAACTAGACCATGATTTGTACTTACAGCATCATGATCCCATAATTGTGTGGGATCATAGTCATATTGTGATAATATAAAAGAAATACCATATCCTTGTCTATATATCTACACAGCGTTTTTTTGTTGGGGTTTTGGGGGTGAATATGGTTCTTGTAACCAGGATTAAGAGCTAAATACCGGGTCAAGTAAATAATAAGCCCAAAATAAGTATCCCTGATTTATTATTCTGTATCTTATATGCATGAGACTTTTAGGCACATGTAAGAGCCCAGGACGTGGTTCTGTTTTTTGCTTTTGTAACTCACACAATGTGAAGTGTATTATTCTCAGTAAGAGTATATTGACTTTTTTTTTTTAGTAGAGTGTATGCTCCTTCAGTGAATTTCAAAAAAAAGCACTCCCTTTTCTACTGTACTGACAGATATAAAAAACTTGGTAAATTTGAATCTGGTGCACTTAGTCTATTTGCTAAAATAATATTTCTAGCAACTATTTCATTTGCTAATAACACATTTACTACATTATTTGTAAGACTTGTATTATGAACTAATATTAAAGACATACAATTCTTGTAATGTTTTTAGAAATTATAAGTTAAGATTACAAACAATTTTTCTGAGCGTTTTCACATTTAGCTCTGCCAAAACTTTTTCTAGACAACAATCTATTTGGCTTGTTAACCTACTTGGACATTCCCAGAGTCGACACAATATGATACAGTTGCCCAAATTAAGAAAAGGAGCATTTGGTCATTAAGTACAAAGTCTTTTTAATTATTTTTTTTTTTAGAAAAGTAAGCCTTATTGCAGTATTTGTTTCTGAGCTCACTATTGCTAATTGAATATTTAAAGCATTTGTGGTATGATCCTAATATTTTGCACCTTTATCTCAGCTGCCTGCATAGCCAATTCTGTGGAAAAAGCATAATGATACTATTTAAGATCAAGTTGCCATAGACCAAATATTTACAGATGTGCTTTGCCGAAACAGTATAAACAGTAACTATGGCTTTATGTAATTTTTAGCATTATCATCAACATGCAATCAAAATTATCACCCAGTTTTATTTGAACTGTGAGGCTCTGTATATAGTAATTATCTGGTATCAAATTTTTCCCTGGTCCTTTGGGAGAAAATAAGTAGGTTGAGTATGTACAGAGTAAACTCTGCCAGATGAAGGCATCTGAAAGAAAGGACTCATACAAATGGTACCAGTTAATCTTAGCCATTTGACATTTTTTTCTGTTTGATGGTGATCAATCCCTCTGGACACATTATAGGAACTTAAACTGTTGTGAAATAATTTACCTTGTGATTTACATTTCTCAAGTAGCTAATCCTACTGTCTGTTAATTCTACCAATAACCCTCCCCCACTATGTTTCTAGGCTCAGTTTTTAAATTTTACCTTTTTTTTTTTTTGCCTGTTTGACATATCCTGCAGAACATTGTTTGTCTGTGTGTTTAAAAATTGTGTTGTTGAGATAATTTTCACCTTCCTCTGATTTGGAAGAGATGGCCTATGACATATTCTCCAACCAAATGTGTAATAAATGTCT
The DNA here is from genome assembly GCF_000001405.40 of Homo sapiens. Lineage (NCBI taxonomy): Eukaryota > Metazoa > Chordata > Mammalia > Primates > Hominidae > Homo > Homo sapiens. The sequence continues at coordinate 85,716,052 of NC_000013.11, read as the reverse complement.
GTGATTTGGATGCTCATGTTGACTAGACACAAAAATGTAAAAAGCTAACTGCCTATCTTCTCATTAAGCAGGACAGGATCTAGACTGACACAGAAACTAAGTTACTGTTTTCATACATTTTCCTTTCTGAGCCATTAATGACCTCATTTAATTCTCTACTAACAGAGATATATCCAGCAAAAGAAGGTACACCAGACCTGGTTTATTACCACAGATGACCACAGAGGACATTGATGATTCGTTCCTACCATTGGTGAAAATGTTCTTGCTGCATGCTCTTCGACTCCAGTATAGGTTAAAGACTGGGTCAAGGATATTTTTATGTTACTCTTATGTAGTGCCTTTGCTGTAAGCTAGGGGAGATTAGATATTTGGTTGCCATTTTTGTAAACTTGAGCATGGTTCATATACTCACCTTAACAGTCAACAAAATCTCTATAGAAATAGTCTGAGCCATTTTTGCTTATCAATATTTCTTGAGACTTTTTAAAAATCACTTCTACTGAAGTTTTATAAGATACTACTTCATAGAAAACCTATAAAAAGACCATTTAGACATAGGGAAGAAGTGTCCAACTTTTCCATGTTCATAGTTCAAAGGACTTAAAGAAGCATTTAAATGACCCAGCTTTAAAAATATAGATAGATAGATAGATAAATGATGGTGACAAAGTGTAAATAATTTATTTACAGGCATGCTATTAGTTGGGTCCAACCAGCATTCCAGTCCATAGCTACTAGGCTTAAATTGAGCTATTTGCCATTTCTAAATTCATTTTAATCATTTTCTCTATAATATGAATATTTCACAGTATTTATAAGCCATTAAAACAGCACATTCTACAATGGGCAAAAATATAATGTGTTCAATTATGTTCAACAATATCACTCTTTGTTCCTTTAAGGGTGTTACTTTAAGTCAATTTATCAAAATTCAATTTTATTAGTTCTCAGAAAAATCATAGGCACATTTACATTTTATAATAAATTATCCTTCAAATTATCAACTTTATCATGTTAGAGATTGTTTCCATATATAAAAGCCTCTATTACAATTTGTAAAACTTCTAAAGGACTATTTCATGTATCATAAAATATTTTTACTGAAATAACTATAGAGTAATGCCTTCCCTGATTTTCAGAATTCTGGTAATAGATTGAAGTTCAAATGATTTATAGCAATATGTTCTAATTTATAGTTATCCATCAACAGAACCAAATAAAATATAAATTACTAAGATATTCTATCAAATATAATGCACTTATATTTAAGCACACTTATATTTAATATTCAATGAATCATCACTTGCTGTAATTTATCTGAAATGCTAAATTTGAATACAAAAATATAAACAAGTATTGATAAATTTATTCCCACTGATTTACACTGTAAAATCCATAGTTATACTCATAAAAAGTTATTTTATTATTTTCAGTGCTTGAGTAATAAGAGGTTTTTATCAGATTCACTGTTTCCCCCATGAATATGTCCAGAAAGTAAAGGATAAAATTAGTCAATAGGAAATATCACCTGTTTGTGCCAGGAAACACATGTATGTATTTTATTAATTACAACAATTCTGCTAACTAGTACAGTATTTTAAATCCCATTTCATAGATGGGAAAACTGAGGCTTAAAGAAATGACATTTCCAATGTCAAACTCCTACTAATTTTCAATTCGACACTAATTTTTCTCTAACACATGTGTTCTTTTTCACTAGTAATTTCTGTCTTTTCACCTTTTAAATTTAAAAGAATGTAAAATAGTCATACATAAATATTACAGATATTGAAGATGATTAAGATATATAACAAAAAAAGAACAGTTTTTAAAATGTGGCAAATAGAAGAAATATATTATTTAGCAGCTATCAAAAATCGAGATCCCATGACACAAAGTCAAGATTTAACTTTGAAATAATCATGACAGGCAAGTAGTTAGGGATATAGAGGACACAAGATTCACCATATGCTTAATAACTACCGAAGCTGAGCAATGAGTACCTTAGGTTCATTAAATTAATCTGTTTTTATACATGTTTGTAATCCCCTATCATTAGAAAACATGAGATAATTTGGGATTACCAAGAACACTTACCGATACAGGAAAATCCTATATTACTAAAGGAAAAGTTATGATTGGTTTATCTCTTTTTGAATCTATTTTAGGAAGGAAACATACCAAAAGATGTCTTATATCTGTGGCATGATATAATAGAACACATATTTTCTTTGTTTTTTTTCTATTGTTTGTATTACCCTGCACATACATTATTGCTTTTTTACTCTGAAAAATAAGCATAATTAAAAGCACCAATTATTGCAATTTTTATTTTAAAGTTTTTAAATCTTGAAAAAGAAATTGAGTAAAATACAAAATTTGCCAGGATGAGCTTATTAACTGATTAAGAATAAAAACCCCAAACTATTTTATAATTGTCATACATTCAAGACAATCAATTTGTTTGAACCTTAAAGGTTATTCTTGAATAAATTGTCTCAAGTTTGGAGTGTGTATGTTTAACATATGATATTCAAGTTGTTGACTTTATCTAAGTTAATCTTATTTTCTGAGTACAAATAACAACTTGTTGAAATGGTATTAAAAAGAAAATATTGGCCAGGTGTGGTGGCTCATGCCTGTAATCCCTGCGCTTTGGGAGGCTGAGGCAGGCAGATCGCTTGAGCCCAGGAGTTCAAGACCAGCCTGGGCAACATAGCGAAACTCTGTCTCTACCAAAAAAAAAAAAAAAAAAAAAAAAAAAAAAAAAAAAATCTGGGCGTGGTGGCACACATCTGTAGTCCTAGCTACTTGGGAGGCTAAAGTGGGAGGGTCTCTTGAGCCTTGGAGTCAGAGGTTGCAGTGAGCCGAGATCACACCACTGCACTCCAGCCCAAATGTCAGATAAGACCCTGTCTCAAAAAAAAATTAAAATTCATTTAATAATTCACGTGAGGTTCAAAAATCTACAAGAAAATTATGCATTGTTATCAAAATTATAGAGAGAAACAATACAAAGATGATTCATCAATATTGTATGAACATTTGTTCACTGCATACCTGAACTTGTGTAAGTAAAAACAATGCTACTTTAAAGAAAGACAAATTACTTTGTCCAGGTAAAACTACTAGTTAAAAGAATGTGAACAGATTGCTTCATGATATGAAAGGAAAATACTGTTTTAAAAATAATCTCTGCATTTGCATCTGGGGAGAGTTTATAACTACTAATGTTTACTTTCAGCTAAAACATAATAAGTGATGGAACTGTCATTAATGCTCTCCAATGGTTTATTACTATTATTGGCCATTCTTCCTTCCCTTTTTAATACCTTACTCTCTTGGGTGGGTCAAATTAAGCTTCTTCAAACTCCATCTCTCCCTTTGTGTTGTGTCCAACACTAAACAACATCTTGATTTTCCCATGGTTCTCAGGGACCACTCTAGACAGTTTGCTTCAATATAAATTGGACCTTTCTTCAATGTCACATGAAAAACGTAGCTGCATAATTTCCATGGTTCAGGGCTCTAGTCTTCATACTGAGAGGTATAAAAGCATCTTATTTTAGATTTTACTCCGTGTTTTAGAAGAATCGATGTTAACTTACCATCTTATGCTGTGAAATGTATAATTTATAAATAATTGACTGTACTTATTAATGGATGTGGGGATCTTAAAGTATTGTCCTTTCCTTGAAATTGAACAGGACATTCCTTAAAATTTAGTGTGGTAAAGGAGAAAAGGAATTATACTGCAATAAAGAATTTCATGCAAATATGAACCTTGAAAGGGCACAAACATTTCTTTAACCCAAATATATGCTAGATTTTGATAGGATGGTTGTGCTTGGGAAAAAAATTGTATCTAGTTGACCATCTTCCAGACCCTGCACAAATGCTGCTATGAATGATAATCATGGTTGTTGCCAAGGTCACCTAAAAAATGATTTATAGTCCCCTTTCCCCAAAAATGTATCAGCTGCTTACTTAGAAAATTAGGTTTCTATTCAGTTACGGCACCAAATCACTTCTGCATGATTCTTCTATTTTTCCTGTACACCAGAACTTGGAAAATGTATGTTTCTGCAAATGTTTATCCCCTTCTAAATAGGAACGATTGAAAATAATAAAAGTATTTTATAATCTTAAAATAATTTATGCATACTGGCCTCAATGTTTTTATTATCATTTTTTTTGAGATTAAAAAAAACAGAAAAGTTTTTTTTCTGTTGCCCAGGCTGGAGTGCAGTATGTGATTATACCTCACCGCAACCTCAAACTCCTGGGTGCAAGTGATCCTACTTCCTCAGCCTCCACAGTAGTTAGGACTGCAGGCATGCCACTGCAGCCAGCTCATTTTTTTTTTTTTTTTTTTTTTAAAGACGGGTCTCATTTTGTTACCCAGACTGGTCTGGAACTCCTGACATCAAGCAATCCTCCTGCCTCAGCCTCTCAAAGTTCTAGGATTACTGGTTTGAGCCACCATGCAAAGTCAATGTTTTTATTTATAGAAGGAGAAGGTTAGGCTATGAAACCTCAAATATTTCTTCCAGCAATAAATTTTTTAAATTTCAGACTGAGGAAAAGGAAACTTTTACCAATAGTCTCTGCTATTTGCTTTTATATAGTTCAAGATATTAAAGCTACTGACTAAAGTATTCCTACTGCCTTGATATTCCCATTTGAGGCTATTCTAGCAGGAAATTAAATATTTCCTTGCAAATGCGTATTTGCTTTTTCTTTTTATTATAGCTATTAAAAAAACTATAAACAGATGAAAAACATACTCTGATACACAGAAAATTAGATGCTTAAATATAAAATCAGATCTAGATGATCAGCATTAGTTAACAGATACAGTTGTACAATATAGTTCTATTTGTGGCATTGGAGAACAATATAACCTGGTTTTGAAACAAAGATAACTTTGTACCTATACTCTAACAGGTTACTAAATTAACATTATTCCATAATTAATTGATAAGGAGAAGAAGTTTGGTGATATTGGAAACACTGGATTGAAGTCCATCACATTTGTGGCACCTTTTTATTTCTTTTAATATGGCTGTGTTTGACATAGTGAAAGCACAAAGGCAAAGTAAAAGAAAACCCTTGTTGGGTTATTTTAAAAAAAATAGTTCTCAGCAGGTAAAAATACCATTTAAGAATCAACATTGCTTTTTATTTAAATTCAAAAGGGATGAGGGATAGCTTCTAATTTTTTTTTTCCATCTGTGCACCACAAATGTAGATGTCATGTTGGTAATTTCTTTTGGGTTATATGGAAATTAAAAATTGCTGACATAACCACATTTATTAATATTTACTGCTGTGGGTTGAATATGTCCCCCTCAAAATTCAGGTGTTAAAACTCAATGGCCAATATGATAGAATTAAGAAGTGTGGTAGTTGCTGGGCGCGGTGGCTCATGCCTGCAATGCCAGCACTTTGGGAGGCCGAGGCGGGCAGATCACTTGAGGTCAGGAGTTTGAGGCCAGTCTGGCCAACGTGGTAAAATCCTGTCTTTACTAAAAATAAAAAAATTAGCCGGGCATAGTAGTACTTGCCTGTAGTTCTAGCTACTCAGGGATGCTGAGGCAGGATAATCACTTGAACCTGGGAGGTGGAGGCTGCAGTGAGCCAAGATGGTGACACTGCATTCCAGCCCAGGTGACAGAGGGAGACATTGTCTCAAAAAAAAAAAAAAAAGTGTAGTAGTTAAGATGTGACTAGGTCATGGGGGATTTTTCCCTTGTGAATGAGATTAAGGCCCTTCTAAAAGAAGTTTCATGCAGATCAGCTCCTTTGCCCCTCTGCCTTCTCCCAAGTGAGGACATTGAGGACATAACAACAACACACCATCTTGAAAGCAGAGAAAGCAGCCCTAACTGGACATCACACTTGCTGGTGACCTGATCTTCCACTTCCCAGCCTCTAGAACTGTGAGAAAATCAATTTCTGTTCTTATAAACTACCCAGTTTGTAAAATTATTTTAGAGCAGCACAAAGGAACTAAGACATTTACTTTCTGATGAATTTCACCCCATCTGAATCAATTTCTTTTCAGAGTCCTATTCCTTGTCATTTTGCCTTAGGAATTACAAGCACTTAACGTAAGGTGATGTTTGAATTGAGGTTGCCACAGGTAATGTCAATAGCCTGAGGAGATACAATTTTATTGTTTGGTATAGCCATGCCAGTTTATATTCAATTTTGTCATTTTTTTTTATGTTCAGACTAACTGATTTCAAAAGGAAAACAATTAATAATATAATCCTTATTTTCATTGTTAAAATTAAATTAAGTTTGACTTCTTAGAAGCATAACTAGACAGCAGGCAAAGTGATTTGCTTAATTGAAGGCCCAGTTAAAATTGTTTAATGGACTAATAGTTTTACTGACTGCTCAAATTTTACCTAATAAATGATATCATAGGAAATTATTCCAAATTACAAAATTAGATTAATAAGCAGTCAGAAATTTGGGGAAGAATTTAAAATGTACATATAGGAAAATGATTTCAGTGTACTAAAAATTTGAATTATTGCCTTTGATAAAAAATTGCTGAGACCAGAGAAATACTTCAGCACTGCACTAGAATTTGACCTGAAATAGTTCTTATTTGGCTGTTACAGATCAGAATCCATACTTGAAGAAAAAAAAAGCTCTTCTGTAATTCAATTTTCAAGCAAACTTACATTTAGCTCTGCTAGCAAATAGCTGAACAAACACAATTTCCTGAAATACAAACATTAAACACGATGAAACAGATAGCAGGAATTTCATTTTCTACTTGTTGTAATAACAGAAAAAGCAATGTTTGGAAGATGTTGCATGATGAAATTGTAGTACCTTTGAATGAAATATTTGATGAAAGTTTATTTCGTTCTGGCAGCATGAGTGAGGAGAACCAGATTAGATGTCACTGCTTCCTATTAGCTGTTGACTCCCATACAAGTGAAAAATAATGCTCCAGTTTTGCATTCTCAGGAAACATTTATGAACTAGGTTTCACAGTTAACCTGAGTTTACTCTTTCAATAAAATATTGAGGGCTGAAAATGTGTATAACTTTTTATTTGAAGAATTTCACTGAAAGAAGGCCGGGCACGGTGGCTTATGCCTATAATCCCAGCACTTTGGGAGGCCGAGGCGGGTGGATCACTTGAGCTCAGGAGTTCCAGACCACGCTGGCCAACATGGCGAAACCCCGTCTCTACTAAAAATACAAAAATTAGCCAGGCATGGTGGTGGGCCCCTGTGGTCCCAGCTACTAGGGAGACTGAGGCAGGAGAATTGCTTGAACACGGGAGGCGGAGGTTGCAGTGAGCCAAGATCATTCCACTGCACTCCAGCCTCGGCGAAAGAGCGAGACTCCATCTCAATCAATCAATCAATAAAACTTCATTGAAAAAAAAGCTCATTTTTCTCTAAAGAACAGAAAGAGACAAACCTGTATGGAACACCTATTATGTGTTAGACACTGCTGTTTTCATTGTGGCGAGGTAGAATTCTTCCGGGGCTATAGGCTCTAGCAGTGCTGTCCACTAACACTTTCAAAGAAGCTAGAAATATTCTGTCCGCACCGCCCACTATGGTAGTCACTAGCCACTTGTGATATGAAGTATTTGAAAGATGGGTAGCTTGACTAAAGAACTGAACATTTAATTTTATTTAACGTTAGTTATTTCAAATCTATATACCAATATGTGATAGTGTTAAGTGACACTACATATTGGACATCACAACTCTAAAGCCAGACTTAACTTCCCTCCGTTTTGTTGTTGTTTTTTGTTTTTGAGACGGAGTCTCACTCTGCCTCCCAGGCCAGAGTGCAGTGGCACGATCTCGGCTCACTGTAACCTCTGCCTCCTGGGTTCAAGGGATTCTCCTGCCTCAACCTCCCATTAACTTCCCTCAGTTTTCTATGTGTCGTATAACTTCTAAAGGTCTCCATGTTCTTATCTATAAATGGGAATAACATATATACCATCTCTCTAGTGGTTGTATGGATTAAATACATTTTTGAATGATGGATCCATCTAGTAATCACTAAATGCGTTTGCTATCAATTCTCGCAAGAGACTAGCTTTCTTAGCCACCATGCTCCAAGATGTAAAACTATCACCCTTAATGAAAATAGAAGAACATTCACTTTTCCCTTGGGTAAGGAAATTAGGTAAGGCCTAATTGGGTAGGGTAAAGCCAATTATTAAACACAGATGACCTACAATTTCCCAACTCCAGCACTTAATGTCTCCTGCCCTTTGCTTCAGCAGAGCTGAGTGTCCAAACGTCGTCTATATTCTCTCTTGCCTATTGCTGAAAACAGTACTGGAATAAAACCAACATCTGTTTGTTCATTTTGTCTGGTGCAATCTTTTCTTTAATATTAAAATACATGATATTTTATAAGAAAGCATTTATCTTTAAAAAACTGCAAACATGAAGAATTTATTTTAGTGGCTAGTCAAGTTACATTTTTTCTTCACCATAGTGAAGAAAATTTCTTAATTTCCTTTTAGCCAACTTTCCACTTTTAACAAAAATCAGCTATGCCTCTCTGCTTTCTCTTTTGTCTTCTTTCCACAAATATTTCACTTGGAAACCACCCAGCTTTGGAACGCTTTGGAACAGCTTCCTGAATTTATCTGGAATATCTGTCATTAGCATATTCTATTAATCAACACAAGAGTTACATAAATCTAATAATTACTTACAGTACTCCCTGGCAAGTAATTCTAATTGTTAATTATTGTAATACTATAAAATACCTATGATGAAAATAATTATCTAATATTATAAATCAAATTATTTTTAAAACACAGAAATAAAATTACAAACTAAAATATATCTGCAATATTACCTATGTTTGATTCATTATGCATACTTTTTAGGTATCATTTTAAAAATACCTTTATCAAAAATAAAGTTCTTCTGGCACTATTTTAATTATATGTATTAAATGCATATTTGAGAACACTAAAACTAACGAACAATGAAAACATCATTTGGATATAACATTTTGGGGGTGAATTATAAATATTTTTCTAAAGTATTTATATTACTCAAAGTTCTATTCTCTACCCTTTTCTCTCTTTATATCTTAGACCATTTATGTTGCTATAATAGAATATCTGTGACTGGGTAATTTACTAAGAACTGAAATTTATTTTCTCACAGTTCTGGAACCTGAGGAGTCCAAGATATAAAGTGCTGGTGTCTAGTGAGGACCTTCTTACTGTGTCCTCACATGGCAGAAGGTGGAAAGGCAAATAGGGACCAACTTCTCCTATCAAGCCCCATTATAAGAAGACCTAATCCCATTCACAAAAAAAGAAGTTCTCATGTGCCAATCACCTACCTCTTAAATACTATTAAGATTGACCTCTCAATACTATAATATTGGTAAAATCTAAATTTTGGGGGGAGTACATTCAAACCATAGCATCCTGTATCTCTGACTGGTATTATTATGCATAATGGACTCAACTACAAGTGACTTTATGCTGAAGATTTCAAACAATATATCTCTTGGAAACATTTTCTTAGCTCCAAAGAACAAGATAAAAGCACAAGAAATGTATTTAACATTCCCAACTGGGAATCCTGCAAGCGCTTGTTTTATTCTTGGTCCTCTAACACAGGTTTCATATAAAAGGATTGTGTTAGGGAAAATGCCCATGAGAGAAATGTGAAGGAAACCAGAAAAGGCTAGGAAAACTTTCAAAATTTGATGCTAGTCTTACTCTGCTTCACAGAGGTAGGTGAGGAACAAGCCACATAGGCCATCAACAACACTGAGGAAACTTAGGGAAGACCAAAGCAGAATCTAGGAGTCAGCCATCAGAGGAGTCCTGAGACTTTCAGAAATAAACTGTTGTATTATCCTTGTCATTTTCATCACTGGCTGGGAGCATCTTCTAGGTACTGTGGCCTCATAGGCTCAGAGAAAACTCAACCATTTGATTTCTGGGAACAGCACTAGTGCCCTTGATAAATTACACTCCCTGAAGTTGGAGTCTTCAAGGGAATATATTCTCATGTTTAACACATACCTCATTCACATCCACCCACTTATTCTAGCTAGTGATTTCTTTTAGAACCTTTAGCTAAAACACATCATAAAGAGCTAAAGACTATTCACTCTGCCTCCTCATACATCTTTCCTCTTCAGGGATTAAGAAACTAATTAAGATAGTAAACATTTTCTGCTTTGAAGGCCAGACAGTCTCTGTTGCTGCTGTTTTAATACAAAAGCAGCCATTGATAATGCATAAACAAATGGCATGACCATGTTCCAATACAACTTTATTTACAAAACAGGTGTCCCACAAGATTTGAGCTACGGTATGTTTGCCAACCCTTGCTCTAAACTCTCACCAAAGTTTACTAGACAATACAATAATGATAATGTTATTAGTTTCACTGCCTGCAGATTTTCCTTATCCCATTCTTTACTCAACATAGGAAACCTGTTTCACCAGTTAAAGCATCTATGTAACTGACTTTCCCCAAACAGAGCAACTTTCTTACTATTGGGTGTGTTTAGATATAGTACCTTAATTTGGCCTGGCTACTGCAACAGGAACTTAAAAATGGAGTAAGTTTTTTAAAGATTAGGCTCATTTCTAACCATTAAAAGTAAGGATACTGTGAAATTTTTTGTGACATCACAGAGGGCCTGAGGAAGAAACTGAAATCACATTTTTTTTTACAGTCCTTCAAAATGAAATGATTAAAAAAGTCTGTAAGAGATTTAGTTCCAGGACTTGGGCTTAATTATACGGACAGTTTCTCAAAGATATATATGGTATTTGTTTATGCCTATAGCCAATCAAATTTGTTGAAAGAATAAACATATTTATGTGAGCGTGAACCATTAAACTAGGACATAAAGCAATTGAAATATAGAAAATAAAAAATAGGTCAATTCGGGAGGCCAGTGCAAAAAGAAAGTTAAAGAATGTGGCTCAGGATAAAAAAATTATATCTAGCCATAAAACTACAGGATTCTCATCTTAAAAATTGTGTCAAAATAAATAAATGAATAAATAAAATGGGGCATTTAAAACAGGACATAATGGTCACACGCTTTTCTCTGCACATTCCAATAAGTAAATAAAGAAAAACATTTATTTTTTCTTATAAACCAGAAGATTTATAGGCTATTGAAATTAACATAAAATTGAAATCTAAACCTATTTTAAAGGAGAGATGCCAACAAAGTTAATAATTCCCTCTTTAGAACCCTGCCCCAAATGCTGAGTAATTAGAGACACGAGATACCTGTAATGCACACACATGCAGAAGGTGTATCTAATATGGAAGAACTGATGAAAAGGAACCAGAAATGTTGTTGCCCAGGCCTTACTCTAGGCCACTAACTCTTCTCCCTTCTAGCCAAGGGTGAGAGATGCATTCTATGGGAAGTTGAAACAAAACAAATTATAGTCACCAATCCTAGCTGAGAGCAGCAATAATCACCTTATTAAAGGACAGTCAATTGAGGATGAAAACCATTGTCAACTGCTTCCCCTAAGCTCTCAAAACAACAGGCAGGATTTTACCTTCCAGACTGAAAATTGGTATATTGTTCCCTTGGATAATCTAGCTACCCAAAATGATTATACAGATACTTATATTTGCAGATCCTTCAAAGAAGTGTGTGTGTACTTGCCCAAAAATCATGTAAGGACAGCCACTGTTTCAGTCCATTTCTGGCTGCTGTAACAAAATACCATAAACTAAGTGGATTATAAACAGAAATTTATTTTTCACCATTCTGGGGGCTGGATAGCCCAGGATCAAGGTACCATCAAATTCCTTGTTTGGCGAAGATTCATTTTCTGATTTGTAGATAGCATCATCTCACTGTGTTTTCACATGTACAAGAGGCCAGCTACGACTCTGAGATCTCTTTCATAAGAATCCTATAATCCTATTCACAAGACCTGTGCCCTCATATGCTAAACACCTATCCAAAGCACTACTTCCTAATACCATCACCTTGGATTTCAATATACAAATTTGGGGGCAGTAAGGGAGACACAAACATTCAGGTCATAGCTTCCACCAGTCGGAAGCCCTGTCAAGACTTATAAGAGCTTTATTTCAACCTTTGATGTCTTATTGATTAACGGAAGCCATTAATCACCAAACATTCAAGGAAAAGTTCTAACATGAAAAATATGAGTGAGAACAAATAAACTTGAGAAAGGAAATTGTAGGGAATAGAATCAATGTAGACAGTCAAAACTGCCAAAATAAATGGAAGTTAAAGAAATAGAAGAACAGAACCAAAAGACAGAAAACAGAAAAAGATGATTTCTTAAAAATATCATAAAAGTATGTTTTAGGAAATATAAAACCCAAACATTCTAAATAAATATATAGTAAATCTAGAAGTATATATCGAGCTACTTATAAATGAAGAGGGCATAAAAAACATCATTTGACAAGCTACTTCCTCAAATTTTCACATCTCATGCTCCTTTTCCAAGAAAATTATCAGAAAAAAAAAGTAAATAACCCAAACAAAAAACCTCAAGTAAAACAAATTTCATGTATGGAATATTTTTGTTGTGTTCGTATTAAGTCCTTTGGACATTCAGTGCCCACATATCAAATCTAAAAATTTTTTTTGCTCTAAAAATAAGCAAAATAAAGAAAAAATAGTTCTGGGAAAGCTAGAGAGCCAGTAAAATTGATAAATAAGTGCTTACCATAAGCATTAAAAATTAAAATCCAATACTGGAATAATATGAAAAATAAGAGATATCAATAAAATAAGGTTTTATTTCTTTCTTGGTTCTCCTCAAGAATCTGGCTCCAAGATCAATCATTTGCCCACAAAACCTATTTCTGTTGTGACTGGCACTCAACACTCACGTGCCTGGAAATTATTAAAACTAAATGAGAACATAATTGACACTGTACATACTTGGTGGCACATTTTTTGGGCTCCATAATTTAATTCTAGGGTGAGACTGAGCAAAATCTTAAACAAAAAAGCGATTTCAGATTATTGCACATATAGATATCCAATGAATATTTGCTGTAAAAAACATTTACTTTAGATATTATGACTTCTGTAGATTTCCCTGACTTACCTGTTGCCTTGTAGAAGTATTGAAAAAACTGGGACTATATAGTTTTTATAATTTTATATCTATGTGTGTGTGTCCATCAATCCTATGATATTAAAGTAAAATATCTTATTATAACTATTATACAGATGTAAAGTTGCCTTAGGAGAAGCATGATAACTGGAATACTGGAGAAGTTACCTGATGAAATTCGTAGATTCTGTACAATACTCATGTTCTAACTCCTGAGGTATCATGTAATAGTTTTTATATCCAAGAGTCAGCAAATTGTCATTATGAATTTATTTCAAGCAAAAGCTTGTTCCAGTTGAAATTGTTTTTGCTTCAGCACAATGGAGAAGAAAATAAACCAGTTTTTAAAAAATGTAGAACAAAAGTAATTGGTGAAATAAATGTAGCAATTAATACTGATGAACATATATAACTGAAACTTTTTGCTGTCTTAGTAATTCTTGAAAGGTGTCAGAAACAGTGGCTATCAGAAAAAGAGAAAAAGGCTCAAAAACTTTACAACTGCAATTTCCACTCACAGCTCCTTGGCTAGTTGCATGGCTATAACTTAATTGCAAGGGGGACTGGAAAGTTTGCCCATATTCCCAGAAATAAGAGGATAAACAGATCTGGTGATCACCAGCTATCTCAACCACAATCTCTTTCCATCTTATCCTTCCTTCCAAGCCAGGCAGGAGTCCTAAGCAGAATAGAATGTGCCAGTATCCCATACATTTCAATGTTGAGGGAAATATGCAGGAAGCTGAATTCTAGAGAGAGATTATTTTAAAGTCTGAACAACTACTAAATAAGTGGTACTTTACTAGAAAATACTTCAATGTGGACTTGCAAAAAGATGAACATGTGTAAGTTCTCATCTTCTCTGCCAGAGGTGGAGATACATCCAAAGCAGCAATGCATACATTGAGAACGTCAGTCAAAAGTTTGCATTTCAGAGATATCTTCAGATATCATTTTCTCTGACTACCACTGGAGGCATAACAAACGTGAGAAATGTGCTTTCATTGGCAACATTACTGGCATCCAAATAAATAGGCTGATTAAAATATTCTAGGAAGACAGAGCTTTAACATTTTGATGAACAAGCTTTGAAAAGTTAGTAATCTCTTCTTTTGTATCTTTCCTTAAATAGCGCATGGTAACTGACATGTTTGGGGAATTTAGATTGCCCTATGCTGAATGTATAATTACAATATTTCATAGATATAATATTCAATATTATAATGAATGCTGCCACTGGAATATTGTTAGTTTTGTTTTTAGTTAGGGTCAGAGAAACAGATCCTAAAAAAAAAAAAAAAAAAAAAGAGTGAGAGAGAGATCTGGAAAGTCACCGAGATCACAGAAAAGCAATTTTGTGCTGCTACTAAGTGATATTTAAGAAACGATAGTATTTATGGTGGCCTCCTGTCTGAGACTTGATTTTATCACACCATGGTAGCAAAGTTGTGGTAGAAGAGACCTATTCTCACTATCTGCTACATTTATGCCAAAATCACTACCAAAAATATCTTAATAATTGTGTATGTTCAATTGCTTGGTCACTTTGTATAATAACAAAGATCATACAAAGGAATCAAAGAGTTGGAGAGCAGAGCAAGTCAGGTGGGAAGACTCTGATACAGCCTAGGTGAACTTGAGGTCGGTTGGAAAGAAAGCCTAAGTAAGAGTGAGAGAAACTATTTCTGAGTAAGGGAGACCGTGGCTGCAGTCTGTTTTATTTTTATTGCATCTTCATGGCCTTGGGCTTGAATGGATGGAAGCCATTTGTCTGGAAATTTGATTAGGCAATACCTTCAGGCTATTGTAAGATCCCCCATATATACGGTATATACAGTAGTCACGCTTATTCATGGTTTCAATTTCCAAGGTTTCAGTTACCTGTGGTCAACCACAGCATGAAAATAAATGAGTACAGCACAATAAGATATTTGAGGGAAAAAAAGAAAGAGAGAGAGAGAACACATTTGCATAACTTTTGTTAAAGTATATTGTTATAGTTGATCTTTTATTATTATTTATTGCTGTTATTCTCTTACTGTGTCTAATTTATAAATTAACTTTATCTTAACTATGTATGCATAGGAAAAACATAGTGTTTAAGATTCAGTACTATTCATGGTTTCAGGCATCCACGGGGGTTCACAGAACATATTCCCCAAGGATAAGGAGGCACTGTTGGATATAGCAAATGCGTTTGTCAACAAATATTTCCTAGACAAGAAAAAAAGCAGAAAAATTAGAAAAAGATAAATTATGGGAATATCAAAAGGTATGAAGAAAATAAAACCACGACCTGCTAAAAAAGTTGTAATTTTGGCTGGGCACAGTAGCTCATGACTGTAATCCCAGCACTTTGAGAGACCAAGGCGGGCGGATCACGAGGTCAGGAGATTGAGACCATACTGACTAATATGGTGAAATCCCATCTCTACTAAAAATACAAAAACAAAATTAGCCAGGTGTGGTGGCAGGCACCCGTAGTCCCAGCTACTCAGGAGGCTGAGGCGTGAACCCAGGAGGCAGAGCTTGCAGTGAGCCGAGATCGCGCCACTGAATTCCAGCCTGGCAGCCTGGGTGACAGAGCAAGACTATCTTAAAAAAAAAAAAAAAAAAAAAAAAAATTATTTTAATTCTGAGAGGTGAAGCCAGCTGGGCTTCTGGGTCGGGTGGGGACTTGGAGAACTTTTCTGTCTAGCTAGAGGATTGTAAATGCACCAATCAGCGCTATGTGTCTAGCTAAAGGATTGTAAATGCACCAATCAGCAGTCTGTGTCTAGCTAAAGGATTGTAAACACACCAATCAGCACTCTGTAAAAAGACACCAATCAGCACTCTGTGTCTAGCTAAAGGATTGTAAACACACCAATCAGCACTCTGTAAAAATACACCAATCCGCACTCTGTGTCTAGCTAAAGGATTGTAAATGCACCAATCAGCACTCTGTAAAAACACACCAATCAGCACTCTGTGTCTAGCTAAAGGATTCTAAATGCACCAATCAGCGCTCTGTGTCTAGCTAAAAGATTGTAAACACACTAAGCAGCCCTCTGTAAAAATGCACCAATCAATGCTCTGTGTCTAGCTAAAGGATTGTAAATGCACCAATCAGCACTCTGTAAAAATGCACCAATCAGCACTCTGTGTCTTGCTAAAGGATTGTAAACACACCAATCAGCACTCTGTAAAATGGACCAATCAGCACTCTGTAAAATGGACCAATCAGCGCTCCATAAAATGGAGCAATCAGCAGTATGCGGGCGGGGCCAAATAAGGGACTAATAGCTGGCCACCCAAGCCAGTAGCAGCAACCTGCTCAGGTGCCCTTCTATGCTGTGGAAGCTTTGTTCTTTTGCTCTTCACAATAAATCTTGCTGCTGCTCACTCTTTGGGTCCACACTACCTTTATGAGCTATAACACTCACCACGAGGATCTGTGGCTTCATTACTGAAGTCAGCGAGACCATGAACCCACTGGGAGGAACAAACAACTCCGGACGAGCCACCTTTAAGAGTTGTAACACTCACTGCAAAGGTCTGCGGCTTCACTCTTGAAGTCAGCAAGACCACGAACCCACCAGAAGGAAGAAACTGGACACATCTGAACATCTGAAGGAACAAACTCTGGACACATCATCTTTAAGAACTGTTACACTCATTGCGAGGGTCCGCGGCTTCATTCTTGAAGTCAGCGAGACCAAGAACCCACCAGAAGGAACCAATTCTGGACAGAATTCTAAAGAAAAAATACTAAACTGTTAATGTGGATGTTTTGTGTATAGGATATATTTAATATGTTTCTATTTCAACTTTCAGTAATTGCTTTCATTTTTAAACTAAGACAGCTTTACATGTGAGGAAGGTAGCAATTAAGAAGTTATATTATCATAAGCACTGTAAAAAATTAAGAACTTAAAAACCTTTAATTATAGCATGTTATAAAACTGTTTACTACTCAGCCCATAATGTTGTATTAAATAAGACATTATTGAAACATATGTTTATTTTCTCTAGGTATAAGGGCTGCTGCTTACCAAACCAACTGGACACATTCTGATTTGAAGATATAAGTAAAGCATCAACAGCCCTGAATTGTCAAAAATCTATGTTTTAGGTGAGTTTTAAGAGTCAGTTACTCCTTAATCTCCTAGAGGTTTCAAATCAAGCAACTCTCCTCTCACCCCTGTTGTTTACATTAAGTTTGTGCTTTTAACTGCTATTTCTGCCCATGATTAATGACATTCTTCAACATTTCTCTTTTTTTGCCACCAAAAAAAGTAAATGTTACTCCGCGTTCCAATTCCTTTTCTCATCTTTTAGCTTTCCCCAAAACTATACTAAAAGCGTTATATCTAGACCTCCCTTTCTGCCATCTCTTTCAGACTGACTACTCTTTAGGAGGGCTTGTCCAGCAAAAATACCAATTTTTTAAGAAAACCACATTGTGAATCACTTCCTCAGCTTCGTTTATAGCAGCCTGAAGAACAATAGTAATTCTCTAATTCCTCACCCCTAAGTCTCACTGTTTTAGTGCATGTGGGCTGCTGTAACAAAATACCTTACATTGGGTCATTTATAAAAAACAGAAATGTATTCCTCATAGTTCTGGCTGGCTGGGAAGTATAAGGTCAAGGTGCCAGCAGATGTGGTGTTTGGTGAGGGCACTCTGCTGTATATAGAACCTTCTATATGTCTTCACATGGTGGAAAAAACAAGCATGCTCCACCAGGCCTCTTTGATGAGTGTGCTAATCCCATTCATAAGGGTGGAGTTCTTATCACTCAATCACCTCCAAAAAGTTGCACTTGTTAATATCTTCACCTTGTAGGTTAGGCTTCAAAATATAAATGTTGAGGGGAAACAAACATTCAGGCCACAGCATTTTGCTTTTGGCCTCGCAAAACTCATGTCCTTCTCACCTATAAAATATATTCATTCCATCCCAATACCCCCAAAGATTTAACTTGTCCCAGCATCAACTCAACTCAACAGTCTAAAACCCAGAGTCTCATCCAAACATCATCCAAATCAGATATGGGTGAGACTCAAGGTATAATATATATCCTGAGGCAAACTGCTTTCCAGCCATGAATCCATGAAATCCAACAAGTTATTTGCTTTCAACATATAATGGTGGAACAGACATAAGATAAACATTCCCATTTTAAAAGGGAAAAATAGAAAAGAAGAAAGGAGTAACTGGTCCTAAATAAGTTCAAATCCCAAAAAGCAATTAACATTAAATCTTAAGGCTTGAGAAAAATATTTTTTGACTTAGTGTTCTGCCATTTGGACACACTGGGATTAGATTTGGTCCCCAAGGCTTCAAGCTACCCACAGTGCAGCTTTTGTGGGTTAGATTACATGCCTGTGGCTCTCTGTTGTACACTGTTGACTCTACTGGTCTGGGTCTTGGAGGTGGCCTCACCCCCATAGTTCCACTGGCCATTGATCTACTTAGGGCCATGATGGCCCCACAGAGTGATCCGGTGAATATTGCCCTATAGAAGGCCTCTTCAAAGGGAAATTTGACACATAGGATCTAATTTAACTAAAGAGCTTCTGCACAGCAAAAGAAACTATCATCAGAGTGAACAGGCAACCTACAGAATGGGAGAAAATTTTTGCAATCTATACATCTGACAAAGGGCTTATATACAGAATCTACAAAGAACTTAAACAAATTTACAAGAAAAAAACCACCACTTCCAAAAGTGGGTGAAATATATGAACAGACACTTCTCAAAAGAAGACATTTATGCAGCCAACCAACAAATTTTAAAAAGCTCATCATCACTGGTCATTAGCGAAATGCAAAGCAAAATCACAATGAGATACCACCTCATACCAGTTAGAATGGCAATCATTAAAAAGTCAGGAAACAACAGATGCTGGAGAGGATGTGGAGAAATAGGAACGCTTTTACACTGTTGGTGGGAGTGTAAATTAGTTCAACCATTGTGGAAGACAGCGTGGCAATTCCTCAAGGATCTAGAACCAGAAATACCACTTGACCCAGCAATCCCAGTACTGGGTATATACCCAAAGGATTTTAAATCATTCTACTATAAAGACACATGCACACGTATGTTTATTGCAGCACTGTTCACAATAGCAAAGACTTGGAACCAACCCAAATGTCCATCAATGATAGACTGGAAAAAGAAAATGTGACACATATACATCATGGAATACTATGCAGCCATAAAAAAGGATGAGTTTATGTCCTTTGAAGGGACATGGATGAAGCTGGAAATGATCATTCTCAACAAACTAATACAAGAACAGAAAACGAAACACCACATGTTCTCACTCATAAGTGTGGGTTGAACAATGAGAACACATGGACAGAGGGAGGGGAACATCACACACTGAGGCCGTCAGGGGGTGGGGGTTAGAGGAGGGATAGCATTAGGAGAAATACCCAATGTAGATGACAGGTTGATGATTGCAGCAAACCACCATGGTACGTGTATACCTATGTAACAAACCTGAACTTTCTGCACAAGTACCCCAGAACTTAAAGTATAATTAAAAATAAATTAAATGCAAAAATAAAAAAAAGAAGGCCTCTTTTGGTGGCCATGCTTACAGTAGGTGAGAATTGATCTTCCTTACTGTATTATTCCATTCTAATGCTGCTACAAAGAACTGTCTGAGACTGGGTAATTTATAAAGGAAAGAGGTTTAATTGACTCACAGTTCTGCAGGCTGGGGAGGCTTCAGGAAACGTACAATCCTGGCAGAAGGGGAAGCAAACACATCCTTCTTCACATGATGGCAGGAAGGAGAAGTGCTGAGCAAAGAGGGAAAATTTCTTATAAAACCATCAAATCTCATGAGAATTCACTCACTATCATGAGAACAGCAACATAGGGGTAACCGCCCCTATGATTTAATTACTTCCCATCAGGTCCCTCCCACAACCTGTGGGGATTGTGGGAACTATAATTTAAGATGAGATTTGGGTGGGGACACAGCCAAACCACATGACTTAAGTCAGCCCATGATTCAAATGCCAGTCTCTTCTAGAAACACTTTCACGGACATACCCAGAAATAATTATTTGCCAACAATCTGAGTATCCCTTAACCCAGTTAAGCTGATACCTAAAATTAACCATCACGCTCAGCCCATACCCAGTACATCAAACTTCATAAAGACTCATTGGAAATCAGATATTAGCACCCAAATTGGGTAGTAAGAGGGTTGGAAACTTACAGCTAAAATAAGAAAAAGAGACATTTTCTAATTACAACAGTTTCTTAGACTTTGACACCACTTATGGCTGCACTAAAAACCAAAGAATTATCATTACCTGTCCTTAAAGAGACTTTTTATAATTTAAATGGAAATCTTTAAGTGACAATTTTGGAGATATGCATTAGACTTTTAGTAAAGAAATTAGTAAATGCATTAGACTTTTACTAAAGAAATCAGTAATGCATAATTTGTATCATCTGTCAGAATGTTTGCATTGTCCTTAATATCTTAGTTGATTTATTTTTGTATCATCCTTTTAGTTGTGCTATTTTATTTTTGATATATTGGACATCTTAAATTGCACAGTTTGAAGTATTGTTTCTTTTTGACAATGACTTTCTGAGGGAGCTAGATCTGTATATTAAAACATGGGAAATGAAATGTCTGAGAGAAAATATGCTGGCATAGGCAACTCACATTTAGGCAGAGGAACAAAAGTATGAGTCAGGAGATTAGGCAAATTTTATTAAGTAACTTAAAACTAGGAAATGAAGGTATAACAATATAAAGCATAGCCTTGTTCAACATTTAAATACGGAAAAAAATATGTGTTCCAAAATACCTTTTAAAGACAATAGGATGGGCGGCCAAAATAAAGGGAGAATTGAAAACAGACAATGTGGTTTTCATACAATTTCCTTGTCTTTTATCACGGATGATCACAGGAAAAGATCGTTTTAGAGAACTTCTGGATTTACTATAAACTTTCTGTTAAAGACATCACTTACACCTTTGATTTAATGCTGCTTGTATAAGATCATATTGCACCTGAAAAGTTACTATAAGCAAAAATGGTGCCTTTTTTGAATCAAAAATACTGTTTTTTATGAGATAATAAGAATTCTATAGACTTTCTTACTTCATCAGACGTCTGTTGTTTGCTCTGCTTGCCAGACGTTTACAGTTTACAGTGTTTAAATTTAGAAATGAGATTAGCCCTTAAGTTGGTAAAAATATGTTCCTTCCTAACTTGAATTTTGCAATCTCTATTTTAACATCTTTAGTGTTTACAGTTTTTTAGTTAAAATTTTTCTTGTGTCATATGAGGAAAGGTGTGGATCACAAATAATTAAATATTGATGTATTACTTTTTTAGGCTGCAAGAATCAGACTCACATAAAAGTTGTTTCAGTTGATAAGGATTTATTATCAGAGCATAACAAAAAAGAGAACATGGCTTTGACTGTCTCACGTTGAAATTTGGAGGAAGTCAGGATTATCATCTGGATACAAAGCAGCTCTCAAGTTGCAGCAGTAACTTCTGGGGCCACTGGATGATCTGGCCATCCTCTTGTTTCCTCAGCAGGCAGAGCACATTGCTTCCTGCTCCAGCAACCTTACTTCTGCTGTTATGGTGACTCAGAAGTCCTGTCTGCTTGTCACCGTAACTGCTCCTTCTGATACAGTAAATCTCTCTCCTTCTCTGTCTCTGGTTCTGTGCAGCTTTCTCTTTGGCATGGCTGCTGCTCAACATCTCTTGCTTGTGTATCTGCCAGTTTTGGGCTCCTTCGTTCACTTGTGTCCCATTCTCTGTGATCACCTCACATAGGCAAGAAGGATCTGAGTGTGTTCCGGTCAGGAGCCAAGATGGTACAGTGCTATCAAGCAGAACTCTTCTGTGGCAGCGCCTAGGCCATTGCTATGCCTGTAAACAATGGCCCTACAATTTTCTCTGATTTGCTTTTTTGTGGCCAGGGTGGTGGTGGTGTGTACTAAAAGATTATTGACATCTAAGAGCCCTTCGGTCGTCACTATTCTTAGAATGTCAGAAAATTTAGAATTGTAAATCATCTTCAATTCCCAATAACTATATTGACACCTGATGTAAGGAGAAAAATAAATGATGTTTTCATACTTTATTTTAAAAGTGCTAGATATATTCTTTTTGTATTACAATTGTTACACTGTAGTATATTAATTTTATTTATTTTATATATTTTATTTTGTATCAAGTTGCATTTTCATTTTTTAATGTTTTAAGATAAATATGAATGGTCCTATGTGCAAATTTCCCAGAGTAGTACAGTTTTATAATAGGATATTTAAAGTAACTAATATGAATATAATAAAAATTGTTTCCAAAACATGTAAAAATTTTTAATTTTGCTTAAGTAACAATGTTTAAGAGTGAAAATTTACTTTATGAATATATTTAATTGTTCAAATTATTAAGTAAATATGTAAATATATATTAACTTATATATAATATGCATACTATATACTTAATATATAAAATATACATAAGTAAATATATAATTATTAAGTAAATATATTTATAATTTACTTAATTATTCAAATTGTTATTTGTCTGAAGGAGAGGACAAATCTTGCAATTACATCATACTCTATTATGGGGTGGAACTCATGTGCTATGAATGTATTATGTAATTGGTGTTTGTCAAAAGTCTATTCAAGCATCTTTTAGGAAAATCTCCTGTAAAATATATAGTACACTAATACACTTTACAATATTGTAAAAAATGAAGTTTCTCCAAAATCGGTTTATAAACGCTACTATCCAAAGAACCCAAATGTACCTTTAAAGAGAAATTACACTTGGAAGAAACAAATGTGTGTATGTTTATGTGTGTGTATGTCATAAGCCTTTCTATCACCATCATTTTTTCAGTGTTTCCAAATAAGTTATCCAGAATTAAACCAATAAGCCTTTTTTTCTTTATTTATTTATTATTATTATACTTTAAAGTTTTAGGGTACATGTGCACAATGTGCAGGTTAGTTACATATGTATACATGTGCCATGCTGGTGCGCTGCACCCACTAACTCGTCATCTAGCATTAAGTATATCTCCCAATGCTATCCCTCCCCCCTCCCCCCACCCCACAACAGGCCCCAGAGTGTGATGTTCCCCTTCCTGTGTCCATGTGTTCTCATTGTTCAATTCCCACCTATGAGTGAGAATATGCGGTGGTTTTTTGTTCTTGCGATATTTTACTGAGAATGATGATTTCCAATTTCATCCATGTCCCTACAAAGGACATGAACTCATCATTTTTTATGGCTGCATAGTATTCCATGGTGTATATGTGCCACATTTTCTTAATCCAGTCTATCATTGTTGGACATTTGGGTTGGTTCCAAGTCTTTGCTATTGTGAATAGTGCCGCAATAAACATACGTGTGCATGTGTCTTTATATTTAAGGCTGAAAATTTTCTGAGCTTTTCTTCTCTAACCTATACCTATCATTTTCTCTCACCATTTCAGGCACTATCTTCTGGACTATCAAGGATTTTCTTCAAGTCATTTTTTCTCATAGTTATGGTCATATAACCCCAAGTTTCAGATTCATTTCTAATCCAGATTTTTCAATCTGTTGTGTCCCTTATTAGAGATCACTTAAAGATCTCAATTTGCTCAGTGTCATATCCATATTGCTTATTCCTTAACTTTTGTCTTTACTATAAATCAGTAAGATTACTAGCCTTTTCATTACCAGCAGTCAAACATTTAAGTTTCTTCCTTGCTCTCCTTTGCCTGTTTCCAGATTTTAAATAGCAACTTCAAGATCCCTTATTTAACTGGAACTGTGTGCTAATGTATGGTGACTCGTTCCCTATTTAAATCAGAGGAGTTGTGAAAACTGTCCTAAGATCCATCCTTTTCTGATCTTATGTACTGAGCAGTACTTCTGAATATGCATTACCTGCTTACAGAATAGAACTGCCTGTCAAATAGTATTCTGTTTCATCATCCATCCTTCCCAGAAATGTTAAATACTTGTTTAGATTATTTTTTGGTCTCTTTTACATTCCCTTTAGATTTCTTCCTTTTTGTTAGCTGAGATTATTCCATATAGAACCTGCATCACTTCAACATTACTTGAGCTTTGGTTTAATTAAATCAAATAAGAATTTCAAGAATAGGTTGCTAAGGTAAGTGCCCTCTATTTTAATAGGTATTGTTGGCGGTCTACACGCAAAATATTCCATCAGTTTTATTGATAACAACCAGCATAGTTCCTTAGATCCATAGATCAACAAGTGTTCATATCTCCATCACAATAATAAATTTAAATTAGTCTAAATCAAATCATTCTCATTGCTCTGGAAAATGATAAATTTCGAATAATCTGTTGACACATTTTCTGCCAAATAAATGTGTGGAGATGTTTGTGGAGATAGAGGGTTGGGGTGCAATGTGTGGTTACCTAATACTTATAAAATAGACAAAAATAAGTTACATTGTATTTTTTTTCTGGATGTGGTCATAGTTGATTATAATATCTAAAATTACAATCTTTGTCTACTGACCATTAGAAGGATAATCAAAGATGGATACCAACCAACTGAGAAAGAAGATGGGAAAGGAAGGTATAACCTGGGGAGAAAGAAGCTGAAACTAAACGTAAATAAAAAATAGATATGTGATTTTAAAGACATACTCTAGCAATCAAAAACCCTAATTATTTATGAAAAGAAATGTTATGGAATATCTCAGGGTTTCTATTTATTTTATCTGCTATTTAGAAACAGTAAACAAAATTCAGCATTAATACATGCATTAAAAGTGAGGTCGGTTGACCTTAGTTCTTTTACATTTTAGCATCTAAAAATGTACTGCTACTCCCTGATTCTAAAATTATATTATACTGTTGTATAGAAAAAAAACTCTAAAATTATTTATGTAATACCCAGCTGTGGAATTTTCCTGCACATTTTAGATTTAACAGAAACCCCTTTATACAAAATAATTGGGAATGATTCTTGCTTCGTTAATCAATACCATTTATCAAGGTGAGAATTACAAAATGTCACATAAATATGTAATATTTTAATTGAACATAAATATAAAAAGCAATTTGACAATCATTTAATACAGGGCTCTAATATTTTCTTTTTCTCTGATAATCTGCACTATTAAATATATTGTCTACAAATTTCAGTTTCAATTTCCTTCATTAGCAATAAGAATGTAATGTTATCCTCTTAAATATTATTCTCACCTATCCCAATTTTGACTTTGTTCATAGCTAATAAACTGATTTGTTGATATTATTCTTAAAACTACTTGCCTTATCAACCTATCTCCAATTGGACTCTTGTTTAGTTTAGTTTTGTTTTTATAGTGAGTTGTGATAGTGATAGTGATAAAGTTTTAAAGTGATAGCGATAAAAGTGAGTTGTCAGTATGTCAAGGGCTTTAGTCTGTATGTTTTCAGGGGAAAGTGTGGTATGGCAATTATTCTGGTGAGTTTATTAAATGGATGCTAGTTCAGAAGATTTACTGTAGTTGTTATTTTATGTACATTTTATATAAACAAAATACAAATGAATGGATTATCTAGAATTGTTAAAGTAACTTGCCATTAAAGATATTTAAATACTATTTTTTCTAATGGTTAAATATTACCTATGTTTTCTTCCAAATTTATATAGAAATAATTTGGAGTTTCTTGGCTAAAAAGAGCACACTTTTTATTTACACAGAATATAATAAAGATACAATTTTGATTTACAAACATTACACAAATATTATAAAATTAAGATGTGAGAGTTTAATATAAAAACTGAAAACATTCCAATGCTACCATTATTAGATGGGATTAAAGTTGTTGTTACTGTGAGTTACTTTTGTCTTAGTATTTATACATTTGCAGATTTCTTATGTTTTTCCTTCTCTTTCCTTTTTCTCTTTCTTTTAATGCCAATTTATAGAATGCAATGTTCAGTTCATTATTTTGATTTTGCCTGCTGTTATAAGATTGATTTCAAAAAACTATAAATGTATGTATATATTGTAGGGACCAGAATATGGGTAATGAAAAATAAAATTAAATAAAACTTTTGGATGCTTTATTCTTTCTTTAGGCTGCTATGTTCCAGAACTTTCCAAGTATTGAGTTGACACACATAATTATTTCATTTAATTTTTAACTTCATATTTTTTCAAAAAGTAGCCTATGGCTATGAAGTATTTTACTATGTGCTAGATACAGTTTCAAGGAGCTTAAATATATTAAAAATTTAATAGTTTCAACATTGACATGTCATTTGGGTATTATTTTTATCTTTATTTTACAGATATGCAAACTTAGGCAAAGAGGGGTTGACCTACTTGGTCAAGCAGCAAAAAAAAAAAAAAATGGTGGAGTCATGGCTCACTCTCAGCTAGTCTGTCTTTAGAATCTGTACTGAGTCACTACACTAAGTATTAAAAATATATATGAAAATAAAAGGAATCAATATAATTTTGATATTATAAATTAAAATAGTTTTGAAGTTTAATTCCATTTTTATATTTGCATGCATAGGTGAAGAAAATATCAATACTTCCAAGTTTATCTTCCTCCCTCTTCCATTGTCTCCCTCAAACTGCTATGCAAAAAGAATTCATGGGACGAGAAAAAGAATTATAAAAAATAATGGTAAGTTACTGTTACAATCTTTAAATTTCAGGAAATGTAAGATAGAAAAAGAAAGCCTTAAAAACCAATGTCGTTTTACTTAGAAATTGTACTGAATGAACAGAATTTATCAGAGCAGGAATTCAAAGAATACTCCTAAAAGTAGAAAAACAAAAATATTCTAATAGTCTCAAAGTAGGCCTACATTTTTGACAACTATAAAATCGTCAAACTCTAGTTGAGTACATACAGTGCACTCTCAGATATGACCTGCTGAGTACAATATTTAGATGTTTATGGCTAACTTCACAAAAAAACTTAGTTATGTGTTTGTCTCCTCAGCAGAAGTACTATTTGGAAAATTGCACTTAAACATCAGCAATATATTATTGAACACTATTAATCAGGTAAATTTCAGTTATCCTGAATTTTAGTAATAAAAATCTTCCATTAATTAGAAATCTGCCATACCTCTTAAGAGAAACAAAAATAAAGCAAGACAATAACCTCATAGTCGTACAGTTTTAGCTTAAAACTGAAATTCAACAAGATTATGTTGATAGTGAACAAAGGCATACAAATCATAAGCCCTCTGTAATTGTCCTGGTATTATTATTCGGGAGTGGCTTTTTTACATTTGAGCTTACAGATTCCTCATCCATAATGTGTGGATATTCATACAGAGAGAAATTATTTCCCAACATTTTTAAATGTGTAAAAAATATTAAACATATGTTCATAGAGCCTTATTATTAAAAAAACAATTACATTTGTTTCTAAAATGTTCTAATTAAATGAAAAATACAGAATTGTGAATTCCATAGTAAAATTTTAACTGATTGTCCTATTGTCAATAAACACATATTTGTATAAAACTTTGTAAATATTGGTCAAATATTTTCAACGAATGAAGTATTAAATCAAATAATTTAAACATACAAATCAATTATGAAAACATCAACTTACACTACTCCTGTTAATCAGTATTTTGCTTAATCCTTAATATTAAATAATTTCTCATTATAAGAAATATTTCAATTTAATTCATGTAATTAATTATATTGACAAGGCATAAGGCAAATCAGCACTTTGATCATCACTCTACTTAATTAACAATTATATATTCAATTTATTGATTGTGTCAGAAGGAAATTAGAAGCATAGGAGAGATTTGGTAACTTCTCAATAGAGGAAGAAATGGCATCAAATATTTTCTGAATATATTGGACATTCTTCTAAGTACCAGGATATGGCAAAACAGAATTATAGAACTAGTGAAAATCTTAATATTCATAAAAATTTGAATATTCATTACGGGAGTCAGTCACTTCAAATTCAATCTGATTTCATCAATCACATAAATGAATGTTTAACCTTGCAATATTAACAGGATTTTGTGGTTCAGAACAATGGAGATAATAGCACCTTTCTGTTTTGTGTGGATTAGACTATACTTGTGGTGTCTTTTGTTGTCATTGTCTTACTTTAAGATGAGTAATGATAAACTAAAGCATGCTTAGAGAGAGCAACTATGTTAATGTGGGGACACGAATTTATACCACCATATATGATGGACACACTCATATGGGAAAAAGATCATATTTACTTTCTATGTGGCGCCAGATAAATGTCAGACAAAGGAGCAGAAGTTTAAGAAAGAATATTCTCTGATCAGTTCCATCTTGAGCTCAGCGTTGTCCATCAAAGAAGTGCAGTAATTCTGTGAGCAAATAGACTTTATGTGCCCCTATATTTGCTCATAGAATGACGGGAGAAGGAGTGTATTCTCTCTCCCAGTAGAAAAGAGGGAGCATACTCAGTGGAATATAAGGAAAATAGAGAAGTACTAGGTCAAGTATGTATTTCTTGACATGTTTTCATGTTTAAAGCACACAGTAACATGCCCAAGCAGCATCAGGGAGCAGCAGACACTATTGTATATAATGGAAGAGTGGCACAGGTACCAAATAGATTCAGCTGAAATTGATATAGTCAGAGTTGGGAGAACTGAAAACAGGAACCTTTTCTGTAGGTACCAGTGGAGCACCCCTTGGGAAATTCCAGAGTCTTTGAGTTGGTATGTATTAGTTTCTCATTGCTGCTATACCAAATTGCCACAAATGTGGTGGCTTAAAACATTTATTATCTTACAGTTTTAGAGGTCAGACATCTAAACTGGATTGCTATGGCTTTACTCCTGGAGGTTCTAGGGAAGTGTTCATTTCCATGCATTTTCTTCTTCTAGAACCTGCACACATTATTTGTTTTGTGGCCTTTCCACACTCAGATCTCTGCTTCCATTGTCATATCTCTCATGTGACACTCCAGCCTTCCTCTTTCATTTATATGACCCTTGTGATACACTGAGACCTTGGATAACCCAGGATAATCTCACAATCTTTCTCTCTCTCTCTTTCCCTTTCTCCCTCTGAAGATCCTTAACTACATTTGTAAATTCTCTTTACTATGTAAGGCAGGATATTCACAGGTATCCAGGATCAGGACATGGACATCACTGGACTACCATGTTTTTTCCTACCATAAGAGATACACATTTTAGAGATATTCAGATGCATTTCCTTATTAGTAGAGGCAGGAAAATCATATAAATATGATTTTGAATTCTTAAGTAAAAGATCATTTCAACAGGAAAACAAAAAAGTACAGAAATATTCTGTAAAAAATCCAACAATATAAAACTTGCACAGTGGCCAGGCACAGTGGCTGTAGCCTGTAATCCAGCACTTTGGGAGGCCAAGGAGGGGGGATTACTTGATGTCAGGAGTTCGAGCCCAGCCTGGCCAACATGGTGAAACCCTGTCTCTACTAAAAATACAAAAATTAGCCCAGCGTGGTGGCACACGCCTGTAATCCCAGCTACTTGGGAGGCTGAGATGGGAGATTGCTTGAACCCAGGAGGTGGAGGTTGTAGTAAACTGAGATCCCACCATTGCATTCTAACCTGGGCAACGGAGTGAGACTCAATCTCAAAACAAAACAACAAAACCAATGAAAAAAACTTGCATAAACATATTTGCAAAATGAATACATTAATTTAGTTGATTTCTTTGAGTTAATTGTATTTCTCTTCTGAAAATAATTACAATATAATTTGCTAATTTTTGCTTGAGCTATTTCTTAAACCTACCCTAACATATATATCTTGGTGAAATTAAGTTGCTGACACTTTAAATAGGATCTTAGGTTCTACTTTTAGTCAATCCATTCTCTATGTATGCAGGTCAGAGCTGGACTATGTAAAGGAAAGTTCAGTATAAAGAAGAAAAAAAGATAAAGATAAAATCACGTTTCCATACTTGAGAGAAATCCACAGCAATGAGGGAAAAAATGAATTGTTTACAAGGTAACTTGTGAGAATGACTTTCACAAGGGACATCTTATACTTTTTAAAGAAAAAAACAGTTACTTATCTGTTGTCGTTGAACTGAGTTTATGCAGTGGAAACAACCATATAAAATCCAACACTGATGTCAGCTACTAAACTCCATCACAGGCTTCCAGATGATGTTATAGGACCTACCTATTCATCTCTTGGCTCACAAAAACTCATTTTGGAAAGAAATAAACTAGGGGCATATGAATTTGAACAATAGATTCTTAATAAAAAAGCACATGAGCTTGAGGAAATAGTTTGCTTGAGCCAGCTGTTTTGTGAAAGGAAGCCGAAATTCTGAGCCAAAGCATGTAATGACTACATAAATGATAGAGCTGAAAATGTCTATTAAGCCAAACCTTCAACCAAGAAACAGGGTGTGGAAAAATGTATGATGCTTTCCACTACTGTTAAGCAAAGCCCTGTTCAGTCAACTTTTCCATTTGCCCCCTCATTAAAAAACCACTGTGTTAGGTCAGTTCCAATCCAATTATACTGAAGTGTTTGAGTTTAGGTTGATGCTAATTGATAAGAATGGAGAGGGGTGCAGCACTTGTCTATATGCCAGTGGTTTCATTTTTTAAATTTCAAATCATGTGAAACAAATTCATTAAATACATAACAAACTGCTTCATAGACTTTAAGAGACGTGTTTTAAGAATGAAATAGGTACTTGTGTTATTTTTATGCACCACTTCAAACTCCTCTGTCCTCACCTTTTGCTTCAGCCACTGATAAAACCATCGGTTTCATACAGCCTTTGCAGACAAAAGTAAATAGCACCTCTGTTAAGGCCAACACTGCCTTAAGACTTTTGTGATCTTGACATGTTCTTGAGAACTTTTCTACACTTGATCTGATGCAACCTAGAAGTGACCCAGCAATTAATTCTGTAGGGTTATCCTTGAGAAGGTTAAAATGAGCCAATGATAAATGTGTTTCCCCTTCATTCTAGACAGCCTATTCTAAGACACATTTTATACAATTCCCCAGAAATTCGCCAAGGATCCAGCATCAGTCATTCATTTTAGGGGTCAACTAAAATGGTGTATCCTTGTATTGACTTTCTTCTTCCCTAGACCCTTTCTCCCCCAAATTTTGTCCAATATTATTTACTTATATGAAAGTCTTTGTCTCATGCTCTGTTTCAGGGAACTAAGGCTAAGTAAGACAATATCTTTCTAACTGAGCTGGTTTAGCTAGAATGGATTAAAGCAAATAGCATAAATTACTGCCAAACTTGAGTATCAAGTTAAGTTCTGACAATTTATGACTTTGGTTTTACTATGTTCATATGTGGAATAGACTCAATCATATGTGCCTTATAGGTAACACATGTAAGAGAGCTGAAAAGAAGCCAGACAGGTAACATATGGTAAGCAGTGTATAAAAAAGACATGGATAACAATAAAAGACACCTATAATTCTGAATTTCTGAGATATTTATGCTTAAAGAAAAAAATAATTTGCCATTGAAACTTCAGATACCTCATTCAGGGTTTCATGCAAACTACTTTATACTCTTAGAAATTAATATCACAACATTGATATCCCCATTTTCAATGGTAGATCCAGCTCCAGACCCTGTTTGCCTGAGTATCACCAGTGGAGGCTCAGTTGGAAATGCAGAAATCCCCTACCTTCTGCACTGATTTCGCTGGGAGCTGCATACTGGAACTGTTCCTATTCGGCCATCTTGCCAGCCACCAATCATCTATATTATTATTTTTTTGTTGTTGAGACAGGGTCTCACTACGTCGCTCAGGCTGGAATGCAACAGCACAACCTTGGCTCACTGCAGCCTCAGCTTCCCACCCTTAGGAGATCCTCCCATCTCAACCTCTCAAGTAACTGGGAAGATAGGCACATGCCATGGTGCCTAGCTAATTTTTGTATTTTTTGTAGAGACGGAGCTTTGCCATGTTGCCCAGGCTGGTCTCGAACTCCTGGGCTCAAGCAATCTACCCATTTCAGCCTCCCAAAGTAGTAGGATTACAGGTTATAGTCTTACTCTGTGCAAAACTTTTGAGACAGCTTAAAGCAAAAGTAGATTCAATTAATATAAATAGAAGTGGCAAATCAGAAAAATAGAAGTTACCATATCTGATTTTCACACTTGTCTTTGATCTTAGAAGAAAAAATAAAAAGGAATCCTATCATTTATAGGTTTCATTTGATCATAGAAGAGGAAGAAGTCTAGTGTTAAGAAGTACAATGCTTTTTTAAGAACTTCAAAATACTGTAAAATAAAAATGTCACCGACATTTTACATAGTAATCATTGAATGAAATAATGAATATCTTCTAAAACAGCTTTACAACAATTGAAGTGATACACATTGAATTCCATCTATTATAATATCCCTTAACTGAGAGAATTAAACACATCTCAATCCAGGTGAAATTGCGATGAATTAAATGAATGCAGCCAAATGTTCCATGCATATATTGTAATTAAACACATACGTACAAATGAGATATATGTCACAGATTTTTTTCTTTGTTTGTTTGAGACGGAGTGTTGCTCTTTTGCCCAGGCCAGACTGCAGTGGCACTCTCTCGGCTCACTGCAAGCTCTGCCTCTCGGGTTCATGCCATTCTCCTGCCTCAGCCTCCCAAGAAGCTGGGACTACAGGCGCCTGCCACCACGCCCGGCTAATTTTTTGTATTTTTAGTAGAGACAGGGTTTCACTGTGTTAGCCAAGATGGTATCGATCTCTTGACCTCATGATCTGCCCGCCTCGGTCGCCCAAAGTGCTGGGATTATAGGCGTGAGCCACCGCGCCCAGCCTATGTCACAGATTTTAGCTGCTTTGTTCAAGAGCATGTTGGAAATAATTTAGGTACATACTTTGTATTCTCGTTCTTTATAATATTTTAAATATTGTGAGTCTCTTAGGTAATCGTATTCATTCTCATTCAGATTTGGTCAGGAATAGGATATCTGGCAATTCCAGGTAATGCCTGGAGGGTTATTTTGTGTTTTTGATAAGGGTATACACATGCTTTGGAAACCAGATGGGCAAATGACAATGTTGGCATTAGAAGCCCACGCAGGACTCTCAACCAAATGAGAAACTACTGCACTTTGTCCAGAACAGTAGCTCCAGAGTGAAACAAACAAACAAACAAACAAAAAACAAAAAACAAAACTTTTTTTTTTTTCAAGGGACTCCTTTGGATCTACTCAAACAGGAAAACTTGCATTCTTCTCATAATTCTTCTATCATGAAAAAAATAATTTCATCTCAGAAAATGTCAAAGGGGAGCATCCAATTCAGCAAATATGTAAGTCTTACTTTCTACAGCACACTGTACTCAGTGCTCAGAAAGCTCAGGGTTTGGAGGCAACATGCAGACAGCCATAGCAACAGTACAGACTGTAATGTTAGAAAATGCAGAAGGCTGTTATGGCACAAATGAAAGAAGACAAATTTCATGTCTCCATGAATGTCTTAAATATTTATATGCTTTATAAGAGTGTAAGAAATTAACATAAACAAGAAAAACAAGTATAAACAACTAAAATAACATTCTATAATACTGTCTAACAGTCTTTTTCAGGATATAACACACAGACTTTATAATATACCCATTAGAATCATTTATTCCCTTACTACCAATAAAAGGAAGACAAAGTGAGATCATTTCTTCACCTCCTGCATAACTAATTCACTTCTCTGAGGTATTTGCTCAAAATGTGTTTTCTGAGGAGTCTTTCCTGACTACAACACACCCTCGCACTCCTTGTCCAGCCTCATCCCATTCATCTTTCGTGATTACTTATAGCAATAATCACCCATCAGATATTATATTACACACCTGTTTATTCTCTATTATACCATCTACAAGATAAGCTCAAAAAGCAGAGAGTTTGTTTCCAATGCTCAAAGAGCGTCTGGCATTTATTAGTTGCTCAATAAGAATTTAGTCAATGAATAAATTAATACACTATCTGACCTCCTAATTTTGTCTTAGATTGCTTTTGGAAAATAAAACTAATACTCATTATATAACAAAATTTTATAAGTAAACATATATTCCACCATGTAAAGAAATAATATATAGAAATAATCATAAATTCACCAGAATTTAACATCGTGAATTAAGTCTATATGTTGAAATAAAATCACAAATTAAGACAGAATAAACACATTTTTACTAGAGTTTACTAAACTATTTTTATGAAGGCATGACTTGATAAAAGATATTACAACTTGAAGGACTTGAGTCTTGATAGGACAATGAGAATTTAAAAGATGACCAGATTTGTCAAAGAGTTGCTTAGGCAGATAAATTTAGATAAGAACATCCAACAGATCCTTCAGTCAGTGAGGGCTTAGATGAGGCATAGCTTTGTTAGTTGCTGAGAACTATATCAGGTAAATCAGCAAATCTCCTTGTCCTTAAAGTAGGGCATTATATTAGAGTTAATATAATTTTAATGTTCATTCCTCAAGCATAAACAGTAAAAAGTTAAATCTAATATATGAGACAAGCTGTAATTAAAGCCTTTTCAGAGTACCCAGACTGGTAGTCAATTAATATTTGAAAGTTATTACGACAAATGTTGTAAGACATGATGATATCCAAAGTGAAGACAGTAGCGGTAGAAATAGAGCCTAACCAGACATAAGTGAAAGACAATTCTGAGCAATTGGCATAGATGACCAACTTGTTGCTAATAAGAGAAAAAGCAGCTCTTTTGACTTCAAGAGCTCTTTGACAACTAAATGGGTAGTGTGATGCTACTAATATAAATATGACCTCAAAGTAGAATATACAGTGGAAGTAGGTAGTTTCATCTTCCTTTTACTGAGGTTAAGGCACTGTTTTCAATTGGGGATATGTATTGGATTGACTTTAAAAATTCGTGTTCAAATTTAGTACAGAAGGAGTTCATAGAAATATACTCCCTTGGGATTTTTATTTTTTATGATGAAATACAGTCATTCAAAATCATACAAGTGAAGTTGAAATGGAGAGGACAAAAATTGCATTCCAAACGATGTCCCAACTTTTGGTACCTCATTCCTGGTATCCAACTTTATTTCAATGCTACTAAATGAATCAAATAGACAATTCTGATAAAACTTAAGAGGCCAGATGGAATTTCTGTTAGTTACTATATCAAATTCCACTTATAAAAAACATTTTTAAAAATTAGTTCAATTTTTCACACATAAGATATCTGCTACACCTCAATGGTACCTAATTTTCACTACTGATTCCTATCAATGTCATGAAAAAAGTATAGTGAATAATTGAGAATTGGTGAAGACGTACCTCAAGCAGATTTGGTAAACAGATATTGGTTAGAGGTCGAAACAGTAACAGTTGAAGAGGAGACATAAACTCAAATGTAAATATTTTTGTAGCAAATTTATGTAAGTTTTTTTGTGGGAGAGGGGAGCAAGTCTATTTTTCTGTTGAGGTCATTGTGACTGGACTTAGGTAATTGTTTTATTTAAACTTGACATTGATTTACATGAATTCATGTATCTAATTGTATTGCAGATGTTATAACTTCTTTTGTTAGGAACCATGATTGAAAGATATAACAAGGAATTTAAAATAATCCATGTAATTTTAATTCCCTAAAGTTTAAATATTAAGGAAATAAAAATAAAATACATTTGCTTTAAATTTTATATTTATTTTTGAGATGGAGTTTTGCTCTTGTTGCACAGGCTGGAGTGCAATGGCACAATCTTGGCTCACTGCAACCTCTGCCTCCCAGGTTTAAGTGATTCTCCTAATTCAGCCTCCCAAGTAGCTGGGATTATACAGGCACCTGCCACCATGCCTGGTTAATACATAAATTTCCAACATTAGAGATACATGTCATTAATCTACATTGTACATTTTAACCAAACAGAATAGTAAGAAGTTCACTGCAATTGATCTCTTGGTAAAAAGAATTGTTTATATTTTTATAGACATCAAATAAATGGCCAACATGATATATTTTGTGTTCAAGTGAGACTGTCTCATTCTCTGCTTATGAATACTGCTGGTGTTCTTCCCATGTTTGCTTCAGCCAGATGCCAACATGAAGCTCTCACACTTTGTAGTTCTCCTAAGCATGTCATTTTTTAGCAAATTTGTTCTTTAAAAAAAAAACAGTAAGTTACCATTTTAAGGTCTACTTTTTACATGTAAAGGGTGGAAAATTCTGATAAATGGAGGTCTTTATTGAGAACGATAAACAATGAACAGGAAAATTCTATCCTTCCACACAACTATATCCATAGGTGTCCCTAAACAAGTTGGCTGTAGGTTGCTTCAAAGTACTGATGATTAAAAGAGAGCTTTCACATCATGTGAAATTGTTTTGATCAACTTTCTTGGTCATAAATATAACTTATATTACACCATAAAATATCTAGATAGTATATCTGTTTAATAGTATAAATCAGCTATGAAGAATGATATAAGATTTTTAGCTGGGCATGGTGACAGGCTTATGTAATCCCAGCTACTCGGGAGGCTGGGGAAGGAGAACCCTCCACTTGAACCCGGGAGGCGGAAGTTGCTGTGACCAAAGATCACACTGCTGCACTCCAGCCTGGGGGACAAAGTGAGACTCCATCTCCAAAACAAAACAAAACAAAACAAACAAACAAAAAAGTAAGATTTTATTAGAGAATACCTCTTTCCTTGGATTGATACAGATTAATTATCTCATACTTTGGTGAATTTTTTCTATAATTTGAAACTATATAACTAAACCACAAATCTTTCTATGACACCATGACACCTATAAAAATAGTTTTCAAAATTAAGATTTCTTTGAAAAAGTTTGAGAAATGTCAGTATTTGAGAGAATACTGAAAGACACTATCTTCTTATTCCTCAATTATGACAAATGTTTTAAAACCTGGAAGATTATAATAGAAACACAAATATGAGATTATATTGGAAGAAATTGGCTCTGAAAAAAATTTTTTGGCCTTGATTCTTCCATAGTTTTAGAAATCAAGTTACTAACGGAAAAAAAAAAAACAATATTTTAAGATGATTCTTTTTATTAAATAGCCATGAATAAAAGAAAAAATATATAAATATTGGTTTTCAATAAGGAGTAAAAATATTTAATCTAAAACATATGTGAATAACAAATTCACAGAATTAAACATTAATAGAAATAGCCAATTATACAAATTCCCTTTAAATTTTAGGGATCTGAGGTCCAGAATGATTTATTTATTTTTTTTTGGAAATGTATCACAAAGTTTATTAGAACAGGACTGGGGATTATATTGTCTCACTCAAATTATGATGAAATATCTACCATCAAATTTATCACATGTAATAATGCCAAAAACTATAGGGATCGATAATCTTGGAAACTGTAACCTTCTATCATTTTCTTCTGGAAAATAACAGTGGGAACTCATCTTCTATGGCTTCTGCCAGTGAAACATACTTTCAGAATTGTTTTGTGAGGACTGTTGATGGTTACTCCCATTAGCAAAAAAAAAAAAAAAAAAATCATTCCTTCAACATTCCCATGAGCTTTTTTGTTGTTATTGTTCTTGCATATTTGAATGCGTTTTGGTTTTGGGGTGTGTCTACATTATCATGGAATTGGGAAATTTACTTGGACAAGATGAAGAATAATGCTAATCAATTTAGTAATTACAGGAGGAAATAAAAACAAGAAGAGATGAGTCAATATATAGTTACAGATTTGTGTTTATAAGAAATAAATCACTAAAAGGTACAAATAAACTTCATTAATATTTTAAATAGAGTATATCTTCATGTTTGGGATAAGTTTGGGTTTTGCAGATCTTTAGGTCAATTTTCTATCTTAAGCGCAAGTTTGACAAATTATACATTCAGAGTAAAAAGACATTCTTCTTCCTCCCCTTCACTGAAATAGCCAGGTTTCAACATTCAGGTGGATCACGGCCAGACGCCGTGGCTCACACCTGTAATCCCAGCACTTTGGGAGGCCGAGGCAGGCAGATCACGAGGTCAGGAGATCGCGACCATCCTGGCTAACACAGTGAAACCCCGTCTCTACTAAAAAATACAAAAAATTAGCCGGGAGTGGTGGCGGGAGCCGGTAGTCCCAGCTACTCTGGAGGCTGAGGCAGGAGAATGGCATGGACCCAAGAGGCGGAGCTT
Organism: Homo sapiens; assembly: GCF_000001405.40. NCBI lineage: Eukaryota > Metazoa > Chordata > Mammalia > Primates > Hominidae > Homo > Homo sapiens. Next base: position 85,677,770 of record NC_000013.11, on the reverse strand, counting down.
GCAGTGAGCCGAGATAGTGCCACTACACTCCAGCCTGGGCGACACAGAGAGACTCTGTCTCAAAAAAGAAAAGAATTCAGGTGGATGACTCTCTGTAGCTGAGCATGCTGCCCTGTGGGGTTTGGAGCCTTCACAAATGCTTTGTGGGAGAAAAGGACATGAAAATAGTTTGCTTTCATTTGCTCATCTCTATACATTTCTCTTAGATTATAATATCTCCTCAAATATTTATCTACTATGTTCTTGACTGATATGTCTACATATTTCTCTATTTCTGAAACCACCTTTGCAGAATTGTAACTGAGAAAATTATGACAGTGAAAGAGATCTGCCCTAACCAACTCCATCTTGCTTTTAGCTTCCAAGCTGTCCTTGCCCATTCAAAGGCCAAACTAACTAACTTTGGGTGAAACTTATAGTTTAACTTTGAAACAAAGACAATGACAGCCGTTTCTCAAAAAACAAAAACAAATGAACAAACAAAAAAACTTCTTGCCTGAGGACTAAACTGCCTTTGTAGGGCTAAGAAATTAGACACAATATTAGAAATTATGGTTTAGGAGTCACACAGCTGGAGGCTACATGATTCTGACCCTCCCCAAATTATTCCTGAGGATAAGGTCAATATTGTAAAACCTAAGGTCAGCAATTGAGATTTGTTGCAGGCCCTGCACTTGATGGGTTAGCTGGCACCACCCAGATCAATAAACTGGCTTGCCTTGTGGCCCCCACCCAGGAGTTGACTCAGTGCAAGAGGACAGTTTCAACTCGTTATGATTTCATTTCCAAGCCAACCAACAAGCACTCCTGACTCACTGGCCCCCCCACCCATCAAATAATGCTTAAAAACCCTAATCTTTGAGTTTTCAGGGAGAGTGACTGAGTAATAACAAGTCTTGAGTAATAACAGTCTCCCATACAGTCTCTAGTCTCTGCGTGGTGTGAATTAACTTCTTTCTCTATTGCAATTCCCCTGTCTTGATAAATCAGCTCTGTCTAGGCAATGCTCAAGTTGAACCTGTTGGGTCGTTACATTTCCTCAAATATTTATCTACTGTGTTCTTGATTAAAATGTCTCTATATATTTTTTAAAATATGTGTGTAAAATTACGAAAACCATGCTTTAGGAAAGATGATTTTTGAAGAGCAATACTTACCTTTATCATGTTCTTGCCTATGCCCCGCCTTCTGAAGGATGATGTCATAGAAAAGCAGGAAGTAAGACTTCTGCATCTGGATACCTATGTCACCGGAGGAAAAAAAAAAAATGCTCGTGTGTGAAGATAATCTTTCATTGGAATTAAATCAATACAAGGATGTTTACATTGCATGATTGTTGTTACCATTGTATAAAATATGGCTTGTTATGCAGCAATTATACCACAGTGCCTGGTACCTTGTCTATTACAAGGCATTCCAGTTTTTACTCTGCTCTCCTTCACTTCATCTCATTCCTATAAGCAGAAGAGTAAAATGAACAATAAGAGTGTGGCAGCTTACAAAAGGCAGCTTCATGTTTTGGGACACTCCCAGGGTAGGAAGAAACTGGCCAGTGTCACATCAGCTTAATCTATGTGTGACAGTATCTCAGTGATCAATCCTATTAGAGTATAAGTACACATATTTTTTCAAATAGAGGTAGGGTATGCATGGCTTGATGTAATACTGTTTAAGGAATAATAAAGTTCCCTTTTAAAATCAGGAACTTAACAGAAAAAGGAGCTTGGATTTGAAAATCAGGAGGAAGCAAGGACATTCTGGCAGACACAAAAGACAGACTACAAAAAATCACCACAGAATTGCTACGAAATAAAAATAGAAAGATTTTATTGTCCTTATTTTACAGAGATTTATGGGCTATAGTTTGATGAAGCAAATCAATAGAGTTGGTCCCACCATGATGCATGCCATGTGACTTTTGGGGTCGCTCAAACTGTTTTACTTTTTCATTGTGGAAGACAAATGTAAGTAGTTTTGTTATAGGAAAAACAGGTTCATTTTCCTGCTGTGTGGCAACAGACTGATTATACTGAGACAGCAGGGTTTGCAGCTGAGAAAGAGTTTAATGATCACAACACTGTGAGTGAGGAGATGAAAAGAGACTCTCGCTGCAGTCTTTAAAGGGATTAGAGAGGGCAAAAAGCTGGAAGATTGAGAGAGTTGACTGGTCAGGGTCAAGGGGATAAAATCATCAGGAGTGTGGAAACTGTATTTTTTGGCGAGTCAGCCTCTTGCGGAGTGTTCAGATCTGCTGACGTCAGTGGGGTCTGTCAGGCCAGCTGACCTCAGTGGGGTTCCACAGACCCACTGAGTCAGTAATTTTATCAGTATGCAAGACCTAAAGAAATAGCTCAAAGGGAAAACAATGTTTTATCAGGTTGGTGCAAAAGTAGTTGTGGTTTTTGCGAAGGGTGATTGGAAAAACCACAGTTTTGCACCAACCTAATGTTTACACTATCCGTCAAAGAATTAAGGGGAACTATGATCTTGTAACAGGGTCTACATGATTCTAAGACAATAGATACCAAACAGCTGAGAGAAAGCAGGTGCGAGAGTAAGCTGGTTTAATCATTAATACTGAATGTACTGTAGCTTTATTTTTTCTCTCCCTGTCTCTTCCCTGATTAATTCTATAAAATTTGTAGGAGTGGTTTCAGTTTTCTTCTTGTAAATACAAGAAGTTGGGTTTGGAATATTGGGAATATGCCTGATATGGCCAGGATAACATGTTGAATTTTACATAATATATACTAACAGGAAATCAGTTTATGTGCTAGACAGAAAAATAAGATACAGTCTGAATAATAGCTATCAAAATACTTTTATTATTTAAGAATATTAATACAATTTCTGCTAATTATTCTCAAATACATTATTTTCTTTTCTTGTGAAAGCATATTTTTGTGGTGATTGTTATTCTGGCCAACTTGGTAAAATATTTTATTTCTAATAGTTTGCATATTGGTTTTTAACAGTTTTTCCAATATTTTTAGGTACATACATAAAGATTTATGTCTTCACTTTTCAATCTTTGGACATTTTTTATCTTGTTTACCTTAGTTTGATTAGTACTTAGAGAAAGTATTTCTTAAACATAATTATTCTATTTATATTTTGAAAAAAAACACATATATTTCCATATTTATACTATTATCTCTAGAGTATGCATAATAGATATTTCTTTGTGACTCATTTGGTCAGTTTTAAAACTTATTTGCTTGCTTTAAAATCTCTTATTTTCACCGAATTATATTACAAAAAAAAACTATGATATGGTTGACTTTAATTATGTAATAAAATTGGAATTTCAAATGCACAATTGTATCTCACTGAATGACAAATATACAGGGGTATGTTTTAAACATTCTAAAACACGTTCGTACTATCCTTATAATTGGGATTTTCTTCTTAATTGGAAGATACTAATTTACACCACTGTCTCGTAAGTTAAAGGTTGTGTTTTTTATATTTTTATGTAATTGTCTTTATTGACAAATAATTATAAATAAATAACATTTATGGAGTACATTTTGATGTTTTAATTTATGTGTACATTGTAGAAAGACTCAATCAAGCCATCAACATGTCTACCACCTCAACTTATCACTTTTTTGTGGTAAGAATGAAAACAATCCATTGTTTTAGCAATTTTGAAATACACATTATTGTTAACTGTGATGACGATGCAGTCAATGGAGTGCTAAAACTTGTTCCTGCAGTCTAACCGAAACTATATTATTTGATCAACATTTCCCCTTGCTCCATCCCTCTCTCCCTTCTCCACCAGCCTCTGGTAACCACCATTCCATTCTCTGCTCCTATGAGGTTGACTATTTTATATTCCACATATAAGTGAAATAGTGTGGTATTTGTTTTTCTGTGCCTGGCATATTTCACTTGTCATAACGTCCCCCAGTTCCATGTTGTCTTGAATGACAGAATTTCCTTCTTTTAAGGCTGTATAGTATTCCATTGTGTATAGCTAATATTCTTTATCAATTTTTTCATTGAGAGACACTTAGATTGGTTCCATATCTTGGTTACTGTGAATAATGCTGAAGTGAACATAAGACTTTAATGTACTGATTTCAATTTCCTTTGGCTACATATCCAGAAGTAAGATTGCTGAATCATATAGTAATTACATATTTAGTTTTGAGGAAACTCCATACTCTTTTCCAAAATGGCTGTACTAATCTAAATTCCCGTCAACAATGTATGAAGGTTCTGTTTTCTCCATACCCTTACCAACACTGGTTATCTTTCATCTTTTTGATAACAGCCATTCTAACAGGTAGGAGGTGGTGTTTCATTGTGGCTTTAATTTGCATTTTCTCAATGATGAAGCCCAACTTTAACAATATACTTTTTGAAAAAATAATTTTAAAGTGAAAGTGTAAATGATTTTAAGTAAACATTATTCTTTTTCAATTAGTAAGTATATTAACCATGAAAAATGTTTATTATTATATATAATTAGAATAATACTGTATTGTTTCTAATACATTTGTGTGAATTAGACCTTTTAAGAAATTTTCACTTCCCTAAAAGAATTACATTGCTAACACAACAAAAACTTATGAACAACCTCTGAATAAACTCACATGCTTGCCAGTGATTCAATATAAAAACTATATTAATGCCATATATAGTCAGATGGCCAAAAACAAAAGCTTTCATGTCCTTTAAATCTATTTTGGTTGTATAAATTCAAGTGCAATCATGGTTGTTGTTTGATTCCCCTCCAGTTTCAAACAACTCACACTATCCACTGTTTTCCTTATGTAAAAGAGAAATGAGGATTCCAGAAGTATGGCAATGAAAATCTCATTCACATGTTCCATATGAAAAGGCAAATAATTTCCAGAAGTTATCGCAACCATGTTTTCATTTTAATATCAAAATGATCTAAAAATGCTTCCTTCAAATGTGAAAGTTTATATTAAATCCATGTATTACTACTAGATATAAAGTTCTAGATCATTTGATATCTCACTGTTAAAAGAATAACCATGTAGTAATTCTTTGACATAATACAAATGTGCAGATATATATTTTCACAAGAGGCATATAAGATGACATATGCCATGTCATATAACCCATGTCATCTTATATGCCATTTATGCAAATATATAAATGCCACACAGCAACAAATGCAATATTTTCTTTATGGTTCTTTTTTGGGGACAGTGTCTCACTCTGTCACCCAGGATAGAGTACAGTGGTGCAATCATAGCTCACTGCAGCTTTGAACTCCTGGGCTCAAACTATCCTGCCTCAGCCTCCTGAGTAGTTGGAACTACAGGCAGGTGCACACCACCACACCCAGCTAATTTTTAAAAACATTTTTTGTAGAGAGGAAGTCTTGCAATGTAGCTCAGGCTGGTCTCGAATCTCTGGCCTCAAAAAATCCTCCTGCTTTGGCCTCCCTACATGGTAGGATTACAGACATGAGCTGCTGCACCCAGCCCTCTCTGGTTCTTGAAAATAAACATCTGTGTGTTAATGTAGGAATTTTCTTTATTTCAATATATTTGGGTTTTTCTCCTATAGTTATGAATTGTCAGCATGAAACAACTGATTTTCAGTCATGTGAACAAAGATCTTACGAATGATCAAGTGGAATCTGTGTAAAATGCATGCACACACAAATATACTCTTCATGAACATAGGCACCAATACAGAGTTAATTGATAGTATTTGGAATACACATGTGTGATTCGCTTTGGCTTTTAGTTTTGCATATACACTTTCATGTAGGTATAAATATGTATGTGTGACAAGTAAATATACTCCTTGGGTTAATAATGGAGTTATATCTCAACAAAACCATCCTAAATTAAAAATATCTTAAATCAAAATAGCATTAATATACCTAGTCTATTGTACATTATAGATCAGCTTAACTCAGAACACCTGTGTTACTACAGTTGGGCAAAATCACCTAAAACAAGGCCTATTTTATATCAAAGTGTTGAATATCCCATGTAATTAATTGAACACTACACTGAAGTTAAAAACAACGGTTATATAGGTTCTCAAAGTATGGTTTCTACTGAATGTACATTGCTTTTACATCACTGTAAAATTAAAAAATCTTTAAGTCTAATCATGGCAAACTGGGGACCTTTTTAAAATAAACGGATTATCCTCAATTGCATACGCTTTCTCACTTCTCCACAAACAGCAAACATATCTTATCACTACTCCAGGCTGACTTTGCTTCTCATTTCTCTGAGAATAGGAAGCAAGCTGTCACCACATTGTGACTTTTCTTCAGTTACTAAGAAAGCCCTGTCCTGGTTTCTTCGAAATGCCAAAATGTCCACATGTGGCCTGGATCAATACCATTTTTCCTAATTCATTTTTATCTTCCATTTCCCACTTTCTTCTATTTTCTCAAATGGATTACACATATGCTAGTGTTCCTATTAAACACAAAACCATCAGCCAGGTGATAAAGGTTCGCGATCAGGTGATCAGCATTCACATCAACATTGATAGGTGAGATGGATAGTATGCATTCTTGATCTGATAGGATGACAATATTGCTTTCTATCTGTGGTCCTCCTCTCACAATTCATAACTTAAAACTGATCATGAGGAAAGACAACAGACAAATACCAGTTGAGGTACATTCTACAAAACACTTAATCATGACTTGAAACTGCCCAGGTTACCAAAAACAAGGCACTTTGAAAAGCTCAACAAAGAGGACCCCAAGGAGATGTAAAAACTAAATGTAATATAATCTGCTGCAACAGAAAAATGTCCTTAGGTCAAAATCTAACAACATCTGAATAAAGTATAGATTTTAGTTAATAATTTATTAATATCTGTTCATTAATGGTGACAAACATACCATAGTGATGTAAGATATTAACATGGGAAACTGGATGTGGAGTATATGGGAATTGCTCTACTGTCTTTCCAATTTTTATGTAAATCAAAAATTGTTTTAAAATTTTTAAATATCAACGATAAATTCAATGTTACAAAATAAAAAACAAAACAAATTACATCTCTTGCTATGGAGAAGAACACTGTGAACTACACCAAATCTCTTAATCCACTCCATCCTCTTCCCAGGGACACAGACTGCATTTCCCAGTGTCTGTAGTTGTATAAGGGACCACGTGCTTAGTTGTCACCAAAGTGAACAGAAATGTGTCCATTTTTTTCATAAAAGTTTAAAGGCCGGTTGCAGTGGCTCACACCTGTAACCCCAGCACTTCAGGAGGCTGAGGTAGGAGGATTGCTTGAGCCCAGGAGTTTGAGACCAACCTGAGCAAAATAGCAAGATCCCCATCTCTACAAAATATAAAATATAAATTAGCTGGGCATGGTGGCACATGCCCATAATCCAAGCTACTTGGGAGGCTGAGGCAGGAGGATCAATTGAGCCTGGGAGGTCGAGGCCAAGGCTGCAGTAAGCCATGATTATGCCATTGCACTCCAGCCTGTGCAACAAAGTGAGACATGGTCTCGCGGGGGAAAAAAAAAAAAAAATTAAGAAGCAGGATGCCTCCTGCATACTATCTTTCCCCATCTGTCATCTGGGATCAGAGTTTCCAAATGAGGACACAGCCACTCAGTGAAAGTGAGTAGATCTCTATGTGACTATGAGGAAGGCCACAACCAGGTATTATCCTTTGGGTTTTAGAAAAATGAGAAATAAACCTGTACTAAGATATGTATATATTAGGGTTACAACAGCAGGGATACCTAACGTGCAATAAGGCTGGATCCTATATTCCACTTCAGATGCTGATTCATTTATGTTCATTCAGTTCATATTCCTGTTTCTATTCTATTTTTTCTAATTCTCTCTTGACATTGGGCCATGTTATCTTTTGGCCTCACCTCTAACACAATACTTCTTTATAAAACACATCAGTGGAGTCCATTTTTAACCATACAAACTTCATATTAAACTAATAATTTCTCAGTCCTCAGCTTACAGCCTGGGTGCCAGCATTTGGTATGATTCACTACTCCTTTTTCCTCTAAATTCTTTCTTTATTTAATTCTTATTCTCCACTTACCTCACTTATTCTTCCTGCCTGCTATTTTTGTTTCTCCTCAGCTCTCCTAAATTCAGTTTCTCTTTCTACATTCACTCCCTTAATTTACCTCCTCCAGGTTCATGTCATTAAATATGATTGCTTTGTGAATTGATCTTAAATTCACAGTTTAAGACCATTTCACCCTTGAAATTCAGATTTTTATATTCACCTTGTTAGTAAAACATTCCACCTGTGTGTTTAACTTAACAGTAAGATGTCTAAACAGAAACTTCTGACTTCTGACCCACATTGGCTTCCTTAAAGGTTTTGTTCAAAAGCTGTTATTCCAATTGTTTAGACTTAAAAAAAATTTGAATTACCCTTAATTACTTTATTTCTCTGACAACCCACATGTAGTACTCCATCAGAAAATCCTGCTTTTTATTTAAAATATATTAAGGTTTTGACGTCTGCCAAGGTCATCACCAGGACCACGACCAGAATTCAAGGCAAAATGTTTCACCTGAGCCACCATGTGACTAGTATCCCTAATTTTGCCTTTTTTTTTTTTTAACGATTTCACTCTTCACACAGAATTAACCTTCTAATATGTCATTAAGATCATGCCACATCTCTAATCAAATCCGTCAGTGGTCAACTTCTTATCTCACTCAAAGTAAAAGATCTTACAGTGGGCTACCTGGCCCTCCAGAAGCTCCTTTCACCCCATTGTCAAACTCTTCTTGTCTCTCAGTTATTTCTTTAAATACTTCTCCAACTACTTTTCCTATTATTTACTGTGTATCTTTCTTGCACTTATCAGAGCAAATTTCACCTTCAGGCCTTCTCCTAGTTTTCTTCTGCTTATAAAGCTCCGCCCCCATATACTTATTTGGCTCACTCCCTTGCCTTCATGTCTTTATGCAACTGTTGCTTTTTCAGTGAGTCCCCACCATATTTAGAAATTTCGTTTCCTAACACTCTCCTAGCCCCCTTCCTTGCTTCTTTTCTGAACCCATGTTAACTTCCATGATGCTATAATCATTAGATTTATTTTGTCTGTTACAGTTTGCTTACTGTTACATCCCCAGAACTAGAACATATGAGCATAAAACATAAAGAGCATAAAATTTGTTATATGGATTATATTTGAATACAATATAGACCCTTTTCAAGTTAAAAGAAAAAACAACATGTTGGAAGCTCATTAGAATAATTTTCTACAAGCTGGTTAGCTCCTGCTGTCACTTCTCCTTAGGTGTCTTGAAGATTTTAGAGTAAATGTTCTTACTTTCTACAGGTGATCTTAAGTATCTGTTCAGGTGGAATGTTTAATGAACAACAGACTGGGATATTAATAGTCAAAGACACAATCTATCAGGCCTAAAATATTCCCTGATGGTAAATGGGCTCCAGCAGATATCAATTTAATTTTGTCAGAAAGTTACACTTATTTTTCTAAAGTTGTGACTGATTTCTATATCTATTTCTATTTTTTTATAATCTTTTTAATCTATCTGAAATCATACGAAGACATCATTTTAAAGCATACCTTATTTTAGGCAACATGATATAATTGAAACGAAGTAAAACTATATATGTATAATATATATTTGTTATATATGTGACAGTATTTTCATAAATGTAGAATTACACATATACACACATATAATGCATATATACATATATAAATATACACACATATATAACATCCTGAACATAAAATGAGTTATACAGAAATATATAAATGAGTTATATATAAAGCAGTGAGTTACATATAAAGTAGTGAAATATGTATCTATATAAAGTGGTTCATATAAATTACAAAGTAACAACACTTTAATCAACTTTGATATCTAGAAACTCTCAACTTGGTAAATAATTTGCGAAAGGTGTTCCCGATAGTAGGAACAGCATCTAAAAAGGTCGAAGACAAATTATGTGAGATGAAGGACTTTCTCTTCTGGAATATATGATTTGATTACAAAAGACCAACATATTTGTCTAAAAACAACAAGAAAAGCTGTTTGACTACAAAGACGGTGAGGATTCGAGGGGCTCAGTGAATGGATATAGAAAGAAGACTTTGAGGTGAGCTTTATCTTGTATTCTGCTTTCTTCCTGAAGTCATCTGTCTACTAGTAAGCCACACAGAGCAATAACTTAATGTGATTAGAGGGGTGTGTAAAAAGTACTAGGTAAGGTGAGCTTTCAACAGTCTCATGGGCTCAGAGGATACAAGTACTGGAATAAATGGTCAGAAAGGCATTTAGAACTTCATACGCTAAAATTCTGAGGAAAAGGGACATATAAAGGTCAACCCAATATTCTATATTCCTTCTTGCCTTGAGGCATATACTGATTTCAAATCAACACTAGGTTAGAGGTAAAAGGTTTTTTAGAGAGTGTTGTCTAAGAGGCTGAGAAGAGAAATGCAAAGTTTGTTAGGATCAAAGTGAAAAGAAAAGAATAATTGCAATTCAAGGAGCATTAAGGATGAGAAGCACTGGAAAATACCTAGGATCTGAGTTGGATCCACTGAATTGCTATACCCTAGGAATAAGGGTAAATTGGAAATAAATGTACTAGAATTTAATACAGCAACTAATTTTAAAAACTGAAAAGATAAGCTTAACAAATTTAGATGCATAGAGTTGAAAGCTGTACTGGAAGATAAATTAGTAGAAATTATACAGATGGAAGCACAACAGGGAAAAGATATTTTCAATAAATGTAAAAAGTTCAGCATTTACACACAAGAACATATGGAAACAACAAAAATAACCCTGGGGCAGACCAGAGTGGCTACTTTTGGAAACAAAAGATGGAAAGGGAAATTGAGATTAAACAAAAAATATAATAAGAGGATTAAATTTCAACCCTCAAATGAATAAATTTGCTGAAACTCAAAATCAAAATACTTCTAAGATAATAATTAATAAATTCTACTGAACGCAGTGGAGAAAACAATGAATTGTATCTGGAAATGTAAGTAAAATCTTACCAGTTGAGCGTTCCTAAAGAAAGGTCATATACTAGTTAAATTCCACCATCTTGTCTCTTAGAGTGCTGAGATCTTATCTGGAAGCTGCTGATCACCAGCTTCCCGTGTTTTCTAAAGCTGCTGATCACCAGCTTCAGGTGTTTTCTATCTGTTGGGAGACTGCCTTTCACCGGTACCAGCTGGAATCAATTATTATGTTAGAGAGGCAGTTTAACAGCTGCCTGACCATCACCTGATGCTCTCTTGACATTCCTGGTATGTGTGGGTGGGCTTCTCCTGCCCTGCTCATGTCTGCCTACCTACTCTAACAGAAAGAATGGTTTTACAATCAACTGTATATGAGGCTATACCATCAATATTGAAATATGCTACATAAATAATATATAAATGTCCAGCTTTGAGGGAATTATTTCGTCTTGCAAGTCTAGACTGATTCATTGTTTTTCAATGAGCAGGCACAGGACTTCATAGAAAAGGAAGTTCTGGAACTCTTGTTATCCATAGCCTTTTCAGTTCATCAAAATTGAGTCAATCATTATTCTAGTTTTTTATGGCTTTAATCTTGCTGCTTATTCTCACTTTTTCTTCAAAGGAGCCACACGATCTTCTTTGTTATAACTCTGACTCTCCTAACTCCTGATGCAATACCTAAGGCCTCCTCTGTTTCCTGGATTAACTGGAATGTCAATTTTAATATTATCCTCAGTTCAGACCTGCTAATTTGAAGTCAGATGGCAAAATGTTTTATATACAAATTTTTTAGTGTATATGTTATTGAAGCTAAGGTTGGTTAAAAATGTATTTATTTGGCATATAATTAAAATGTTTAAAAATAATAATGCATGAAAAGTTACCTGTTTTTTAAAGGATTTCTGAGAAATATACATATATTTATACTTACTATGTTTTTATAACCATACGTAGTATTTTAACAAAACAAATATAATAAAAGTTCGATAACATTATTAGCATTACTACTATAAAGATATAGTTATAAAAATAATTAAAATATTCTAACATTGTAACTGTGTTTTAATATTTTCAGTGTATGTTAGCATATAGTTTAATGTGATACATACTTTACACTTTGATACATACAGAAGCATTCTATAGCACAGAGTAAAACCTTTACTTTTTTTTACACATCCACAACAGTTCTTGAGTCATCTAAGTAGAATAAAAAGCCACCTGCCAACATTCTTTGTGTATAAACACGCTTTAACTTTGTAACTCATCTGTCTGCCTACAGTCACGTCTACATCTAAGCAGCCATGCAGTGGAGAACTTGAGAGTGAAAGGCCATTCGACTTCAAACCCCAGTGGAACATGACTCAGCACAAAATGTAATATAGGCCACAAAAAATAATTGAGTTGACTGTGACATACGCTTTTCTTTTTGCAAGGAACCACATTAGACTGCCTGCTCATACTACTTTTCTATTTTATTTTCACAGTTTTGGTTTTAGTACCAATCTGCATATAATCATCACACAATTGTGATGCTTAATTTTTTTCTTCCAACATAACTCTCCACCCTATCCTGCATCTTTCCTCACTTTGCATATAATTATGTTTCTTCCTGACTAATTTACAGATATGTTGAATTCTAATTCTATTCAGGAGTAACTATGCATGGCATGATATATTATTTTTCAAGTCTGCTCACCCTGTAAACTTATTATACAAAAAGAGTAAAATGATGACTACCTTTTAGAAATATTTCATATTGCCATGGATGAATTTTCCAAGACTATGAACATTATCCACTCCTCTTATTCATTCTTAATAAGATTATACTCTCTTATTAGCTAAGCAAAATTCATTTCCTATAGCTAATATACATCAGTTGATCACTTGCTATTTCAAGCTTAGATGATCATTTCCTATAGCTGATATTCATTGGTTGACCACTCGCTGCATCATTTCCTTGAACTATTAACTATTATCAGAATGAATTTACAAATAATCATATAGTTGAATAATACGTATTAGACTTTCCTTTTCTGTTTGTAAATAACAGAGATAAGATATTGTGTTGGGAAAGAGCTAGAATAAATGTGAAAATAACTGGTTAAACTACTTGCTTTTATAAAACTGCTTGACCATAAGTGACTGAGTAGATTTAGCTGGTAAATTGAGAATTATATTCACATTACATATGGGTTATCCATGAGTTAGATTGTTCCAATGTAGTTAAATGGAAAGAGGTAGATACTCTGGCAGAGTTCTCAGATATTTAAATTTTATTTTCTGTCAGATGGAATCAATGCTGACAAATTCAAAGGAATTCTGTTAGAGCGGGGTAAGATATCATCTATAAAATGCATAGCATACTGTGTGGCACATGGTAGAATATACACATATTAACTTTCTCATTATAATTGTAGAATATTAAAGAGTTTTGTTATTGTTACTCTTGTGCTTTTTGTGTTCATTTTTATTATTTAATCAACCTCTTTGAAGTAATAATTCATTTTTGTAATATTATTTTTCCATAAGTTCCAAGAAAGAAACAGGAGTCCACAGGGGTATTTTGACAAGGAGACTCACTGGGGGCAGGTACTACAGGGAGAATGGGTTGAAATGAATGAGATCAATGTCACAGATGTCTAAAGGAAGGAGGTTGCAAAGTTGTTCAATATGGAATATTTTTTCAACATAAATGCTGGGTATTGTGTAATATGATATTTCCTTGTAACCTCATAAAACATTAGTGATAAGAAAGAAATTAGTAAATGCATACAGAAATGGGATTGCTTATGTATACCAATTAAAGACTAAATAGCAGGCATTTCAGTGTAAACAATACTGGTGAGGAAAATCTGACAGCTAAGAATTTTTTGTTGTCGTTAGTAGCTCATTATGCTAAAATAAATCTCTTTAATTGGATGACTTTTTATTCTGGATAACTTAAGTTTTATTTTATTGGAAAATGTATAACTGATACAGCATAATGGTTAAGTACATGGGTACTAAAGAGAGATTGCAGTGACGGGGGAAGGGAGAGTCTATTCCTGGCTCTGCCACTCATTAACTGTCATCCCTTGGCCGTGCTACTTATTATCTTTGCCTCAGAACTCTTCTGAAAAACCAGGATAATGATACTACCTGTCTCGTAGGATTGTTTTAAAGATGAAATGTGTAAATATTCATAAAGCCCTCACGATGATGACTGGGGAATATTAGGCGCTGAAAGCTCCTATTTATTGGGAAAACCAATATTAACAACATTCATATCTGCACTAAATCCTCATTGAAATATGGGCTAACTAAATGCCTACAAAAAAGACTGCTGAGTAGAAATGTGGTCATAAAGTTAATTATCAATGAGTAAACAATTTATAATGATGAAGATAATAAATGTAATGTCATCACACTGAGGAAAAAAACAGTAGTCTTTACTTAGTAACTAGTACAATTATGAGTTTCTAACCTCACCGGATTTTTTCAGACTTTTTATCAACTTTTCGATGGTAACTTGAATGAGCATGTAAAAGTATGCTACAGAATAATGGAGAGGATGGAAATTAAATGGCAGTCTTACTCTTAGAGTTCAGAAACACACTTTGAGACATGAATGTGAGTGCAGATGGTTTATGTGGTAATCATGAAGAAAAGGAGAAATGAGAGAGATAAGGGGAGATAATCAATACAGTGTGCCTCCATGAGAAATTTACTGCTGTGGTAAACCTGGGCCCAGTCCCACTGGGGACCTTTAGAAATGTATTTAGAAGCCAACTTAGTGCTTGTCCACCTAAGAGTTGAAAGATCTGAGGTATCTGTCTACCAAGTCCACCCCATCACTCTCCCCACATGGTAATTTTCTAGCTCCTGCGGCTTGTCCTGTGTTTGACCAGACCTGCCCCTGCAGCCAGAGGCTGTACTCAGCAGAATCTGCCACTTGTTTTGTAAGAAAGAGCTTCTACTCCAGGCAAGATCCTTGGGTTCAGGCAAGATGGATGCCTGAATTGGCCTCATACTTTGGACAGCAGTGCATATCACAAACTCCTTAACACAAAGAATTAATTTTTCCTTTGGGGGCTCATATGAAAAATTTTTTGAACTTTGGTAACCTTTAAGCATGAGAGGTTTGGTATGGAATTCTGTGTGAGTGGAACTGAGCCCTCCCTGTCAGGGATGTGAGATTGACAGCACAGAAGTGAATGAGCAGGAAAAAAAATCACAGCCACTCTGTGAAGCCAGAGGATGAATATGTGTGGCTTCTTTTGCTGAACAGTGCAAATAAAAATAATTCATGGGAATAACAGGAAAGATGTTACCCAGTTCCAGACAATGCCTATGAGAAGAGGAATGGAATTTGTAGGAAAGAGAAATATGTTACTGGACTTGGAAACTTGAAAATAAAAAGGAACAAGCTACTATTTGGACAAGATATGTGTTGGGAAGATTTCAGGTTTGTCTGTGATTGTGGTAAGGCATTACAGCTGAGAGGTTTTAAAGTATCATGTTGGAATTAATTTAACATCTCCAGGCCAAAAGAAATGGAGCTTTTTTTAAGGAAAAATAATAATAATATAAGAGAGAAGGCAGAAAATACAGAATTTAGTTTTTGAGGTTATGGGTCATGTGGCCCAAAGAACTACATGTTTGGAAGTCAAAGTGATATTAAGAATAGTTCCAGTAATACACATAACTTGGAAAAATTAAATCTATGAAGAGTTGAAAGAATTCAAGATTAATTTCTGAGATTTTAATGGCACTGTATATTAGGCAGTTGGGATTGGGCAGGAAAGTGTGGATGTTTGCCAAAACAGAATGTAAATTTGTAGCTAGAGGTGGGGTGCAGTGAAAATTACTGAAGGAGCTGAAGTTGGAAGGGCTAAGATGGTGGGAACAGGGCTTGGAGCCAGGGGGAAAGCAAGACACAAGCCAGAGCTGAAAGAAGAGTGGGAATGGAGCCAAGGCTATTATTAAGACAGTAGAATGGAAGTTTCAGAGAGATGGGAAGGAAAGAGAGATGAGACTCAAATACAGCATTAGGGACTACACCATGGAAAGGGGTGGGAAAACAAGCCACAGTTATACAAACCATATGAGGTTCATTTTTCTAATAAGTAGACTTAAAGATACATGTAACAAAAATTAAAACAAAAAGGCCTAGGACAGACTTTCCTTCAGCATATAAACTGAGCATTCAATGGCCAACTGTAGAGGAAAGGCATACAGTTCATTCATCTATCATAGCTTTGTTTGCCATGATTTCATGTCTGTTTTTTCATTGTTTTATCTTTTTTGGATAATAAACACTTTTTTTTATTTGAGATGGAGTCTCGCTCTGTTGCCCAGGCTGGAATGCAGTGGTGCAATATCCACTCACTGCAAGCTCCACCTCCTGGGTTCACACCATTCTCCTGCCTCAGCCTCCTGAGTAGCTGTGACTACAGGTGCCCGCCACAATGCCTGGCTAATTGTTTGTATTTTTAGTAGAGACAGGGTTTCACCATGTTAGCCAGGATGGTCTCGATCTCCTGACCTCATGATCCACCTGCCTCAGCCTCCCAAAGTGCTGGGATTACAGACGTGAGCCACCATGCCCGGCCAAATAGTAAACATTTTTAACAACTTCTATCACATGTTCAATTTTTATACTATTGCATTTGCATAAAAAAGAAGAAATTAAAAAATGCACTAGATAAGAATGTAGTGGAAAATCAGTGTTAGGGAAAAGAGAGCAAGTTTTTTATGCTACCATCCATTTTTCCTGTTAAATTAATTAAAAGGAGGCTGCCAGCCTAAAGCTGTCTCTGTACTTTGAATTACTAAATAACAAACTGAAAACTATTTTAGTGTGTAAACAAACTAAACCCTAATTTAAGAGTATATTTTGTAATAAACTGCTGAATTTTAGCCAATCACAGGCAGTCAGTTGATCAGACCATGACCAAATAAGACAAATGCCTCATCACACCATGCCCAAGTAAGGGAGATGTATAGATGTAGCCAGTCAGGTGGTTTCTGTACTTTGCTTCCATGCTCACCCTATAAAAGCTTGCTGCTCATGCTGCTGGGCAGTGTTCTCTGAACCTCTTCTGGTTCTGGCTGTTGTCTGATTCATGAATTGTTCAACGCTCAAATAAAATCTGTTAAATGTAATTTGTCTAAAATTTATCTTTTAACATTTCTCACATTGGAATTCCTTGCCAAGGAAGTTAGACACACCTAGATGAAAGTACAAAGGGGAGACCAAGTACCAATTTAAATATAGCTGAGCAAGCACTCAATACTCCCTGTTTTGGAGAAAATTCAGTTTGAAAAGCTAGCTGAGTTGAAGACACTTGCATGAGTTTTTCTTTTTCTGAATCTAAGTTTCGAATTTTATGAAAAAAATCCATAAAACGTTTCTGGAAATCCGGAGTGAGATTTGGAGAATCTGTTGACCACATCCATTCCTGAAGCAAAGGAAGAGAGAGAGAGATCTAGGTAGCTGATTTTTAAAAAGAATAACCATGTGAACCAATTTTATCTGTTTAGATAGTGACTTGGTACTTAAACAATCAATTTTAAATGTATCTTTTCTTAGGGGAGGTGGCAAGCCTCTTAAGGCAGCAAGCAAAGCAGGGCCAGATGAAGGAAACAAAATAGGAGCTTAAAGTCCAGCAATACAATATTCATTCATGTATGTATTTATGCATTTAATAAATATTTATGAAGTGTCCATATGTGCCAAACATTTTCTTTTAGTTGCTGGGGACCAGATTCATTAGAAGCCAAGACAAGTCTCTATATAGGGAGAGTTTTCAACTCTAGTGGAAACCAACAAGCAAAAAAAGAAAATATCAGATATTGGAATATGCTATGTAGAAAGTGACTGACTTTCATGGAAGAGTGATAAGAAGACTTCCTTAGGTAGAACAGACACATAGCCTACTCCGAGGGTGTGGAAGTTTAGCTGATTCCTCAATGCTAAGCCAGCTAAAACATATACGAAGAAAGTATAGCAGGCAAAACAGTCAGCAAATTTAAATATATTATGATGAAGGAAAAGTTTTATTTGTTTTAGAAAGAGGAAGACAGCCAGAGCAAGAGGAATTCAGTAGCTTGAGGGGAAAGTAATGAGACATGGTTTCGTAAGAGTTGGCAAGAGCCTCAGAGGGCCCAGAAGAAAAGAGTGCCAACTGTCTACTTCATTCTAAGTTCATTGGGAAGCCTTTTTGAGTTTTAACCAGGTAAACAACACGGACTTCTATTTATAATCATTGGAATATGTGGACACCATGTACAAATAGATTCATCAAGCTGAGAAATTGATTTTTTATTAAAAAATACACAATTCATTTCAGAGCATGTCTTAACTCATTTATAATAGTATTAACAAAGATGTAAGTTAATGTTCATAACAATTTTAGGAAATGAGGAAAAAAAGAGTAACCATTTCAAAATGGTGTTTTGCTAGTCACTGCTTGTTTGCTTGGAAACCTCACTTTCCCCCAACTCTGCTCTGAGTTTCAAGGGATGACCCTTGTAAACTGTATTTCCTGGTTCCACTGGGAACTATCTTTCAGTTAAATTTCATCACTGGGATGCTCTGGAAGGAGACTGGAGGACAAAAGGTGAAGGAAGCCAAGGCACTATCTCCCTCTTCACTTCAGGTGACACCTCTGGCAGTGACTACATGCCCTCTCTGAGAAGCAACTGCTAGCTTTAGAATCCACCAGGCAGTTCAAGTTGCTGAGTTCTGGTAACATCCACTCCTCTTTTTGAACCTTGAGCCCAGTGGGTGAAGTACCTTAATCTGTTGCTAATTTGTGTTTCACCTTCTTGGCCATTGCATCTTTTTGCAACTGTCATGATTAGATTCTTCTATTGAATTCTCTCTATTTAATTATCTGAGTTGGATTATGTTTCTTTGGTTGGACCATGAGTGACATAAATTCCTACCCCTTCTTTGGCTTATTTCAATATAATATACTTCTAAGCTGATAATTAGGATAATGCTTTATATTTATAGAGCATTTTCACTATTATCTTACACAAGGAATTTGTATTTTATTTAATCTATTTTTATTTATAATGTTCCCAGTAAGAAGTACTTCCAGAAATAAAGATTCTAGACATTCAGTGTATTAGAGAACTGAACTTTCAGGTATAGGACTTATTTGGTCTGGCTGATTTGGGTCAATAATTTTGTGATGGAGATGAAAATGGATAGTAAGTCAACTTCTGTACTATAATTATCAAGGTGCAGAAATACCTACTTTTCAGATAAAGCTCCTGATGTTCTGGCATAATTGTGTTATAACAAATAAATTCTTTAATATACAACCAAATTTGGAAAATCTAATACTTTAAGACACACTTAGTTATTCATAACATATTCCTTATAGATTTTATCACATGCTCTTCTAATATTTAAACCAGGGTTGTTTAATGTTTTGAATGGTTTTATAATAATAAAGATTTTGAGTGGGCTGGTTGTGGAATGAAAGTAAAAGTTATGGAGAGGCTAGCAGAAAGCACTAAAATACAGAGAAACTAAGTGACACAGGTAGGAGAGTACATATCAGAAGAGAAAGGGAGATGGGAGGACACATTCAAGTAACATCTGTCATCATTAACTACTTACCTGCCTCTCCTCTCAGGCCTTGACTGCAAGTGTCATAAATCATTTAGCTTTTTATCACCAACTCCTAGAATAGGGACAGGCTTATGGTGATCATCAATTATCTTTGTTGACTGAATAAACTGAGAAAGCAGAAAATGTCTTTTCCTTCTTTCTTTCCTTCCTTCTTTCCTTTCTTCCTTCTTTCCTTCCTTCCTTCCCTCCCTCCTTCCCCCCTCCCTCCTTCCTTCCTTCCTTCTTTCATTTCTTCTTTCTCTCTCCATATATTTTTCATTTTTTCTTCCTCCATTTACATATACAAGCATGAGTTAAATTACATTCTACTGCATCACATGTATCTTTTCTGCATTTGCATTTAAATAAATATATAAAATTTAATTTTATGCTTTTGTGAGATTATCATTTATACCTACAATTCTTAAAACAACAAAGTTAATTTTTCTCTCCATATTGTTTGTATTGTACCTGCTTTATTAATGTAACCCTGGATGATATGAGAGTCAGTATAGAAGAATGGAAAGCATAGAACACTGAATTAGTAAACTTTTCAATCACATTCTTGTTCTGCCCTTTACTAGCTGTGTGACTTTAGATAAGTTTCTCTATCTGTCAAATGGAGACACTCATAATTGTCTCATGATTTTTGTAAGAACAAAGGAAATAAACGAAAGTTGCCAGGTAAATAATAAATGATATTTTGACTCCTTCTCCTTTAGTTCTCAGTTTAAACATCTAGTGCTTACAGAAGACTAACATGACTTTATTTCCTTAACTCCACTGTTCTACCCCTAGTAATATTTATACCTGTTAACTTCTTTTCCAACCCTCTGGAATTCTCCTTGACAGTACTCACTATTCTTATGACATCTAGCCCAATTACTGCCTTCCTTAAAGTTCCTTATATCAGAAACGACATGCATTGTATTCAGAGTATCTGGCAAGCATGTACTAGATACTCTAGATTTGTGTTGAATGAATGAAACAGTATTTAAGGTGATGTGTTTCCTTACCTGTTGCCCATTAGGCACCACCACTCTTTTCTAAAGCTAAAGATTATTTTTCCCAGAATCCTCCTCCCTGTATGTGGTTCCTAGTTGGAGTGTGCCAATAACAGGCGTTCACGTGTGATTTAGCACAAAGAAGTGAAACAGAAGCCATTATTTCTGAGAAGCAGTTGCATCCTGAAGCTTATGCAGAGGAGAGATTTACAGCATGTCTCCCGGCTCTTGAGAACTATTTACTTCATCACTGCAACCTAAGTAGTTGGTAGGACCTCCTTAGAGAATCTTGGCAACTGCAGAAATTTACAAACTAGCTCCTGAGAAACAGATTTCACTGCTTCAATTTGACAACGTTGGTGTGAAATCCTCTATTGTGGAAGCTCTCTTCACTACCACTCTCTTGATCTTTCAGTGGTTTTAAACCCCTAATATTATCCTAAGCACCTTTTACTTGATTAAACAGAGTGGCTTCTGACTTTTTATATGATTTTTTCACTGGCACAGGTGCTTCACAGAGTAGTAATAAACTAGTTAATTTTAAACAGGAGCCAAAGGTGAAATTATTTTCAAAAAGAGTACAGGAAAGTCATAATGTCAAATTCCATTTCTAGAAGCAGGTACATACAGAGCTCTAAAATTTTTGCAGTAAAATAAAAATGGAAGCAAAAACGGCTACAAAAATCACAAGATTATGTCACATAAAACAGTTTTCAGGTGCCGCATAACCATTCATCAATTAAGACCACAGATATATTTTCTTCATATAGCCTTCAAAAAGAAAGACTATTAGAAATGATAATTCTTGATATTTAATGAATTCTTATTCAGATCTATGAAACCTGCCAAGTGACTTACATGTGATGTTTTGTTACATTCTTATAAAGATGAAGAAACAAAATAAGACTAATTTGCCAAACATCACTCATGTGTTAAGTAAACAAGCTGTAACTAAAACCTAGATATGATTGACCGCAAAATTTTAAAATTTAATCTCTTCACCATTATTTTATACTACATTTCTATAATAATGCCTTCAACTTATTGCCTGGTAATTTACATTTTTTATTATTATATTGATTAATTAATATCCTTCCAATAACATTTTAAAATAAAATTGAGGGGATGAGTTTCTTATAAATATTTCTCATAATACTGCTCCAAATATTCTGTAGATGGAATTAACACAAAGGCCAATTCCTAAAACCAATTTTATAGATACGTGGTTTTTTGATTGGTTGATTTAATCCAAAAATAGATTTCAGGGTATTAGACTAATAGATGAATTAAGTAAATTCCAGACAATTATTCATAAATAACGTTTTCTCAACTGAGCTTTTGAGATTACAGTAGCTTATTTTTTTCTATAGCTCATATGGTAAGTACACATTTTTAGCAGCAAATAAATTCAGAGGAGCATTGTGAAAAAGTTTGAGTCTAAGAAAAACTCATTCTTCACTAGATTATTATTGTGACTCTTTGGATGTGAGCTTTAGAAAGTAAGAATAATGTCAAAATTATACTCTGAAAGTGATTATAGTTCTACCTAACACAAGGACACCTGTGTAGTAAAGGAAAATAGATCCTTGTTAAGAAATCATACTAAAACAACTTTTAATGGAAGACATTTCAGGCAGATGTCACCATATCACCTTAGCTCACTCCATCTTCCTTCAAAAATTTTAACTTTGTGTCACTTTTACCTAAATAAGTTGGCTGTTTATATGTGTTTACATACTAAATGAGAAAACAGTGTGCAATAACATTCTCCTTCAAATTTTGGTACATCAACTATTTGTGGTCTAAGCTGTTGTTTAAGTGATTCACTGATTGTAACTAGATTCAGAGATAAAATAATTTGCTTCAAAAACATTTCATAATTGAAGGGTATGTTTAATCATAAACCTCAATAGAAGTTCCATTACTTCATTAGGTCATAATTTCAATGGAAGCTAATATTTTATGGACACAACATCCTTTTCAACTTATAATTAATGTCAAATAATGACTTGGCAAGCTTTGCACTTCTATTAATTCATGGAGCCATTATTGACATTTGAAATTATCATTTTTCAATGTGATTTAAATGTATTAAAGTTGTCTTTTTTAAAAATCACGTAGTTTATTTCACTGATAAACTTATCCTTTTTCATTGAAGTCATTTTTTAATAACAGTTGTTTTTAAAAATTTTTTTTAAATATGTATACTTTTAAAATTTATGTGGAAGCTGCTCTATTTTCTTCAGGACAACACTCCTGTACCATTCTAATGTAGTTTTAAATATATCCAAAGAAATTTAGGAAATCTATAAAAATAAGATATTTCTAAACTTTAGATTCTTATTCCACAAAAAGTCTTCTGTTTTTAATAAAAACTATTTCCTTACAGTTAATATACCAAGCTGACAAAGCTATGTTCTTTTGCCAAGTTTTTGTTAAGATTGCTGTATACATCACTAAAGGAACATTTGAGTATCCATTTATAAATGCACCTACTTTTTGGCTTAGAATCTTAGTTTGTGCGTTTTGAAAATAGAAGTACTTTATAAAGTCCTTTGATATCTTTTCATCAAAGAAACTAAGGAAGACCTATTTCATTTTTATTTTTACTTCGACTTGTATTTTTCAGCATTAGAACTGGGTTAAGCTCCTTGTCATGTTATATAACAGAAATGTCTTGTCATATCCTGACATCTTGTCACCTAAATAATGACTCATGGTCCTGGTGAGCTTTCAGAGAAAGGTTCTGGCAATTATCAAATGGCTCATCTCTTCCTTTGGCATTTCACAGAGCTAAAAATCTATTTGATATATCGTCTGCATTTTTGCAGAAAATATTGCCCTAGTCACTCATTCTAAGCCTATCTTAGGAGTTCCATATGCTTTCATAGGATGAGAATAATATGCAGTACTCCATATGCTCCCCATTAAATTACATATAAAGATAAGAATACATTTACCCTGATTATTGCTTAAAGATTCAAAAAATGTATCAAATACTATCTTCTATCAAAAAGAAAATATTAAAAACTGAGAAGCAAGGAAGGTACCTAGATCGCTAGAAAAAGCACATTCTAGGCAGAAGGACCAGCAACTGCAAAGGCCCTCAAGTGACCACTGTATGGTCTGTCCACAGAAAAGCAGTGAGGCCGATATGGCTGGAGCAAAATGAAAAAGGTAGGAATGAGGTTACAGGGTTAGCCGAGAGCCAGACTCTGTGGAGCATAACAGGGGATGAAAAACTCTATGTCCTTGATTCTTAGTGAGATAAAGAGTCATTCAGAGATAGAATGGAGGGCTGCCATTCATTTGTTCAACAAATATCTGTTGAGCAACTTATTGTGTGACAGCTGCTGTTCTAGATGCTGGAGATATAGCAGTAAATAGACAGGAAAAAATGTTACTTTCATATGGCTGATGGTTTTCCGGATGGGAGCACAAAAACTGGTTAAAGAGCCAATCAACCAATGCTGAATAAATAGTTCTTATACCAGAAAATAGTAAGTGCTATAGAGACAAATAAAGCAAGAGAAAATGGTGAGGGGATTAACTCAGTCACGGCAATTTTACGTAGGTTTGTGAGATATAACCGAGTTTGGTTTTTTGTTTTTTGTTTTTTTTTTGAGACAGAGTTTTGCTCTTGTTGTCCAGGATGGAGTTCAATAGCACGGTCTCGGCTCACTGCAACCTTTCCCTCCGGGTTCAAGCAATTCTCCTGTCTCAGTCTCCCAGCAGGGATTACAGACGCCCACCATCGTGCCTGGCTAATTTTTGTATTTTTAGTAGAGATGGGGTTTCACCATATTGGCCAGGCTGGTCTTGAACTCCTGACCTCAGGCAATCCGCCCGCCTCGGACTCCCAAATAACTGATATTTATACATCACTCTAATTACTTTATGAAGGAAAGATTATAGAAAGGCATGATTAGAATCAGGGGAACAAGTTAGAAGGGAATCACAATAATTAAGGAAATAGGTGAGCTTGTCTTTAACTTTGGTGGTAGAGGAAGAGGTGACAAAAAGTGATTGAATTCTGAATAAATTTCAGAATAATATTAGCCAATAGGATTGGCTGTTGTTTTGTATATGAGGATGAGACAAAAGAAGGAGTCAAGGATGACTCTGATAATTACATTTAAGCAACTGAATAAAGGGAATTATCTGAGATGGGAAACATTGGGGTGAAGTAGACATACAGGAAGTGAAAGGCATAAGTTTGAGTTTATTGTAGCACCTAGAAATTACCATCCAACTCTAGGCAGAAAGAGACTTAATAGGAAAGTGAGTAAGTATATTGGAAGAACTTAAATGGCAAAATCTACATTGAACCTCCAGGAATGACTTCCAGAACCACTGAGAAACACCTTAAATAGGGTGGCTGCCAGGAGTTATTATTTTCCAGGCATCACTGAAATGAAAAACCTGCCACTGATTCTATCAGTGCAACCATGTCTAGATACACAGAAAGCTGGAAAATGAACACGTATAGATGCAATAGACTGATTAGGAAGCCAGATTTAAAAAGTCACTGCCAGTGATGCTGACATTTCCACTGTGACATTTCACACTCATAAAGCTAAAAAATAGCATATTGTGAGCAAGAAATTCATGTTTGCATAACCCAGTTTGGCAACAGAAACCAGCAAATAAGTTAAAAAACACTTTAATTGTCAAAACTGTTTTGTACTCAAAGCTAACGATATCAAGTTTTCCACTTTTCCAAGCAAAAAGAAAATGATTGCATGAAAGTTGTTAGAATCAATACAGACTATCTGCAGAATGGTTATCAAGCTCAATGGAATATGAGATATTTGGAACATGTTTAGTTTGAGGTGTCAATTTGCTATCTTTTGAAGATGTCAAAAAGTGCTTACATATAAATCTGGCAATTAAAGAAATGCAAGAGGCCCAGGAATATATGAGAGAAATAGGATTTATAGATTATGTTTAAAGTCACGATGCAGGATAAAGTGACTTTGACAATGCACAACTTAGATAAGAGTAAAGCTGATCCCTCTCTTCCCATTTGTGTGTTGCAAAAATGATAAGGCTGTTTCCATCTCATATTCAAATTAGTAATTAACCTTTAAAACACTTTACCTAGGGTCATAATACACTGACTGAAAAGATGCCACACACATAAAGAGAACACATTTCGTAGAGATAATACAAATAGGAAAGATGTTAAGGTCAGAGAGAAAGTAATTTTACCTGATAATAACAATCTGAATATATATTATTTAGGAAGACTTGAAAACCTTCGACGGAATTAATTTAACTTTTGATGAACTCATTAGTGAAGCATAGGACTTGATAAATTGTACTGAGTAGTTATTACTGCTGTGTTACAAATTACCTTAAAATTTAGTAGCTTAAAACAGCAAACATATATGTCTCACAGTTTTTGAGAGTTAGGAGTAACTTAGCTGAGTGGTTCTGGCTCAGACTCTTATGAGGCTGCGGTCAAGTCGTTGGTCAGGGCTGCAGACCTAGCTGAAGGCACACCTGGGAAGGATTTACTAATGAGCTCACTCAAGTGGTTCCTGGCAGTTGTCAGTTTCTTAATGATTATTAGTCAGAAACTTCAGTTCCTGGGCACAAAAGATCTCGACAGAGCTGTTCATAACATAGCAGCTTGTTCTTCCAGAGTGAGTCATCAAATGGGGGAAGAGAACTTAAGCTCCCCTAAGACAAAAGCGCAATTTTTTAATAGCATAACCTTGGTACTTATATACCATTGCTTATGCTATATTTTATTGATTATAATGTGGAAGGATACTAACAAGGATCTGAATACCAGGGGCTGGGAGCATTGAGGCTCCTCTTGGAGGCAGACCGCCACAGTTGGTCTTTGTTGACCTTATGAAATTGTGGGAGCTAGTTAAGCAGTCCAGTAAGCCCGTTGTCTTCACATATGATGTTAGAGTTTGAAGTATGCAGGACACCCGGTGTGGAAGAGGAGATAGATGTAACATGGGAGAGGTCAAGAACAAGCTGGAACCTATAGAAGCACAAGCTGGGAACCCATGAGGCAGGACTAAAATATATGTCAGTTCTTATTGCTTGTGTCATTGGTGGTGTGGGCATCCTGAGAAGCCAAATGTCTTTGTCTCAGGGCTAAACACGTGGGCCCAGATTCTCTACTGCTGAAGGAGGATCTCAGGGAAGGCGGAGCAGTCACAGCACTAGTGCCTATCGCACAATCCTGAGAGGAGTGAGCACATAAATGACAGTAGGTGTATGCTATCAAATGACTCCTGCTTTATTTCAACTTTCTCAGCCTTTCACAAGAATCTCTCTTGTGGTCAACTCTAACCAAAAATATATGGAGAAAGGAATTCTGGGAAATGTAGTTCATTCTAGAAAAGGTATCATGTTACAAAGCCACTGCAGATTGTACCTGAGAAGCAGAGTTCTCAGTGTCTGTATGTAACAATGGAAATTTGAAAAGCATCCAAGAGATTCTAGACTGGATAAAAAGGATAAAAATATACTTTATAATCATGCTAATTGAGAGTTTTTCCTAGTTTCTTTGTAAGAAGCAATTAACAACAAATATTACTATTAAGTATTTTGTATTCCTCATTATTTTTACTTATATAATTTATAAACATATATCACATATAATGTAGTGCATTATATTCTATAACAATAGCATATATATAATATACAGACTATTGGTAACAGATATTTATCAACAGCTTATATTCCTGAATTAAAAGTGTTTACGTAGGGAATGTAGGTATATCTGAAAAGCCTGGATAACAATTCAGAGCACGGATTTCAATATCTCCCATAGAAAAAAATAGTAAACAGGTAAACAAACTGTCCTGTTCTTACCCCAAGTAACAAGGTTTATTTCTAGCTGAATGGGCAGCATGTGATGTAGACTTTCAACATTATTGATTATTTTTATCTTCTATCTTTTTCCAAAAGTGAGGTGAATATACCTACTCATGTTTATTAATTTTAGCTTTACTAAGAAAATACAAAGCAGAGATTATGATAGACTTTCTTATGGGTATTTTCCTTCTGCTTCATTTTGTCTCCTTTAACACTTCTAGTGGTATTTGGAGAGTTGTGATTGCGGGATTTTTAAAAATTGATAAGTAATATTTGTACATATTTGTGGTGTACATGTAGCATGTTTTACATGCATAGAATATGAAATAATCAAGTAAAGGTATTTTGTATATCCATCACCTTGAGTATTTATAATTTCTATGTGTTGGAAACATTTTGCACTTTCTATCTATTTGAAATATACAATATTGTTAATATTATTATTGACATATACAATATTGTTAACTATAGTCACTGCAGTCTGCTATGAAACATTCAAACTTATTCCTTCTATCTAACTGTATGCTTGTACCCGTTAACCTACCTCTCTTCATCCCATTCCCACCAACACACTCTTCTCAGCCTTTGGTATCTATCATTTCCACTCTCTACCACCATGAGAACAACGTTTTTGGTTTCTACATACAAGTGAGAACTTGTAATGCTTGTCTTTTTGTGCCTGTCTCATTTCGTTTAACATAATGACCTCCAGTTCCATCCATGTTGCTTCAAATGAAAGAATGTGATTCTTTTTTTATGGCTGAAAACTATTCCATTGTGTATACACACCTCATTTTCCTTATCTATTCATTTGTTGGTAGACACTTCGATTGATTTCATATCTTTGGTATTGCCAATAGTGGTGCAATAAACATGGAAGTTCAGGTATCATTTTTATATACTGATTTATTTTCCTTTGGATAAATACCCAGTAGTGAGATTACTGGATCTTATGGTAGTTCTGTTTTTAGCTTTCTGAGAAATTTCCATGCTGTTTTTCATAGTGGTCTTACTAATTTAATTACCCATCAACAGTATTCCCTTCCCCCAAATCCTTGCCAGCATCTGTTATTTTTTTCTCTCTTTGATAGTAGCCATCCTAACTAGGGTAAACTGATATTTCACTGGCCTTTTGATTTGTATTTCCCTGATGATTAGATATATTGAATTTTTTTTCGTGTGTCTGTTGGCCATTTGTGTGTCTTCTTTCAAGAAATGTTTATTCATGTCATTTGCTTACTTTTTAGTGAGATTATTTGTCTTTTTACTGGTGAGTTGTTTCTTGTATACTCTGGATATTAGTTCCTTGTTGGATGAATAATTTGCAAATATTTTCTCCATTTGACAGTCTGTTCCTTCACTCTGTGGATTATTTCCTTTGCTACGCACAAGATTTTTAGTTTAACATCATCCCATTTTTATTGCCTGTGCTTTTGAGGTCTTAGCCATGAAATCTTTGCCTAGACCAATAACCTGAAGTGTCTTTTCTATGTTTTCTTTTAGTAGTTGTATACTTTCAGGTCTTACGTTTAAATGTATACCTCGATTTTTATACATAGTGAGAGACAGGGGTCCAGTTTCATTCTTTTGCCTATAGATAACCAATTTTCCCAGCAGAATTTATTGAAAAGGATGTCTTTTCCCTAAGGTATGTTTTTTTGTGTGTGTGTCTTTGTTGAAAACTATTTGGCTGTAGATACATGGATTTATTTCTGGCTTTTTCCCCTATTGCCCTAAAACTTTGTAAAATTGAATAGGTAGGTAGAGCTGAGTGGGGAGAGTATGGGGAATCACAAATTAAATTAACCTTCTTTAAAAAAAATTCTCTTACAGTGGCTATGCCTTCTAAACACTTTCAATAAGAGTAGAGGAGAAAAAAATCACATTACGTAAGCTATATAATACTGTACATGTTCAAATATAGATTAGTGAACTGTAAAATAAAATTCTCTTTCCTATCATTTCCCTCTATGAAAAGTCACCAACTATTTTACATATTATCTTCCACCTTTCTTGAAGAAATATTCCACATCAGTAGGCATAATTCACAGGGAAATGAGGAACTGAAAATTACTGTGAGATAACTTTCTTCTTAAGGTTTTCTTAGGGGTTCTATTTTCCATCTACACACAGTGAATTAAAACATTCATTATATGTGTCAGCTAACATTTTATTTTGTCTAGCAGAGACATTTGTAAAGAAAAAGACTTCCACTATGCCTGAAATAATTGGTTTAAAGCATCAGAGAAAAGTATGGGCCTTTGAAATATGCCTGAATTAGGAATCATTTGAGATATTAATCCAAGTTGGTTTGTCCACTGCTGTTATTAACAGGTTTCAGAGTTTTCCAGACTTCAGCAACTTTAAAAAAGCATAACAGAGTTTTAAAATGTAAATATTCCTTTTTATGTGGCAACTTATTTTCTGGGAGAAACTGACATATTTCAGATTTGGCATTGTATTAATCCTTTCTCATGCTGCTAATAAAGACACACCTAAGACTGAGTAATTTATAAAGGGAAGAGCTTTAATTGACTCACAGTTCAGCATGGCTGGGGAGGCCTCAGGAAACTTATAATCATGGCAGAAAGTGAAGCAACCACGTCCTTCTTCACATTGTGGCAGGAGAGAGAAGAATGAGTGTCCCTTATAAAACCATCAGAACTCATGAGAACTAACTCACTATCACTAGAACAGGAAAGGGGAACCACCACGTGATTCAGTGATCTCCTCCTGGTTCCTCCCATGACACATGGGGATTATGGGAAGAAACTACAATTTGAGATGAGATTTAGGTTGGGACACAGCCAAACCATATCAGGCAATAATAAGAAAGAAGAACTGAAGCATCCCAGAAAGAATAATTATCAGATAATTCTGTGCAAACGACATTATTCTGATACTATAGACAATGGAACAGGATGGACAATATTCCTATTTTCCTCTTAAAACTTCAGAAAGCATATTGCATTTTATTTCTCTCCTATGTGTTATGGAGTATTCCAATTAAACAAAAAATTAACACTATATAAAGATAGCCATCTTTACGTTTTTTTCTTCACAATGTTTATCTCTAATTTTGTGCCATAGACTATACTAACGGGTAAAAATTAGCCTTGGAATGTGAAGGCAGATGACAGGCAGAGGGAAATGACAAAATGCTAAATTGTTGCAATTTCTTTGGTGTACTTTCCATTTGCAGAGAATATCTGCAATCCCTAGGAACAAACATAAGGATTATCATTGAATCCCTATGAACAAGCACCCTAAGAATGTCATAAGCTTATTTAAAATATTTGATTCTGCCTCAATGCAATCATGCTGAAATTAGACCAAATAAATTAAAAATAAGTATATTCATCAATATTCGAAAGACACTAATTTATTCATCTTTACTCAGGCAGATTCAATATTTATTTAACATCTACTTTGTGCAAGCACATGACAGCATTGAATGAATCGGCCTTTGATGAGGATCGATCAGCCTTCAGGCCCAGATGAGAAAAGTCTCAGTATATCATGTTTAGATGTCCCTAAATCTAATCCCGTTTATATTTGGCATTTTCTGGTCACTTATTAAATACTGTAGTCAGTACTCTGTTTCTATTATCTTTATTATTCCACTCTTACTATGTTTCTGTTAAAAGTGGGAAATGTAAAATACAAAATATAAATATAAAATGATTTTAATATCTAATCTGTAGATTCTGACAGTTTCTCACAGTAGTTTTTGTTTTCATCCTCAAGGCTATAGGAAATCACTACATCCATGAACCTACTTTATTCTAAACATAATTCTTTTCACTTCGTATTTGAAGGTTTGTATTTATCTTTTTCTACTATCAGTCTGTGAACTCAAGTCCTGTAAGCCAAAGACGTGGCAAAGGCCTCCAGGAAGGAATTACTATAATTATTTCCAAACTAATGTTTACTGTCCAGATTCTCTGTTAGTAAGCCAGGTGTTTTGTCTAGCTTACTTCAGTTGATAACTCTTTCCAAAATGATTCTATATCAGGTGCAACAATTATCAGCTTAAAACTGCTCTGTGTAGAAAATAGGTTGGGCCACTGCCAATATTTGTCAAGTTGACTCAAACATACTATTGTCAAAAAGGACCTTAGGTAGCAAAGTGCTAAAGTTTCCACTACTATTGTTCTAGTCTGACTACGGGCAATTCTCTCATAAACCATGCAACCTCTAACATTCTCAGCTGTGTGGTTCAATGTGCCTTGCTCTGCGATGTGTAATGCATGTGCAAAGTTGGCTACAAATTAAAGAAGCACAGGAAATAGAAGGACGGAAACGATCAAAGGAATAGGCTGAACATTCCCTTCTGATTATTTTAATCTTAGAAAGTTAACATTAAATAAATTTCACATTTCTGAAAATGAAACAAATGCACAAATATTTAAAAATAAAATCTAACTTTAACAAGCTCTATAATTTCTATTCTCTCAAAAATGTTCACAAACTTTTCTTTGATCTAGAAATGAACAAGGAGATTACGAAAATAACCACTGAGATGATAAAAGAACATGAAGTTAGTGTTCCTATAGACTAGATATTAGTGGTCATTTATTTGTCCATAACCTCTGAGCCTTTTCTTTGATAGCCTGTGAAGTCTCTGCATTTGAATTCAGTCTTAATACTGTCTACCTGAATCTCTAGCATCACTCACCCCAAATTACCCTGAACACACACACACACACACACACACGCACACACACTCATGCACACACAGATAATGAAATGGCAAATGATAGCAACAGGAGGCAGCCAAATGCCTAGGCAGATAGGGGAGGGTCCCTGGTAAAAACCCCACTTTCAGTCCAAAGATAGTTGAAAGCCTGAAAAACAAGCTACAAATTAGATCTTCGGACCAGATTGAGAACTTGTCTTCCTCTTTGGTGTGCTTTTCCTCTGACTGATCCCCACCTTTCACCTATTTTACATATACCTACTTTTTTCTAACTGGTTTTCTACACTGTCGTGCCCACCTTTGAGTGGCATCTTCACTTAACCTTTTTTGCATACTCACCAACCAATCAGCATGTACTCCCCATTCTGAGTCCATAAAAGGCCCCAGACCCAGCCACATGGGGAAATTTCCTTTCTTTAAGTAGGGAGACCAACTGTGCATCCATCCTCTCTCTGGTGAAAGCTATTTTCATTGTTCAACAGAATTCTTCTCTGCCCTCCTCACCCTTCAATATCCAGTGTATCCTCATTCTTCTTGGGCATGGTATAAGAGCTCAGGAACCACTGAATGTGGGTACAAGCTATAACACAGGTGAGCTGGGGCACATCAGTATGGCCGAGCAAGGCCTGGGTGGAGTGTCGCTGGCTGGGGTACCCCAGCTTGCAAAATGGCCAAGAAGAAAAATTCTGCATCACTAAGATAATTGAAGACATCTCAAACATAGGTATAGAAATTCAGACCCCTTTGTGATAGAGGTACAGAGTCAGTATCATCAGTAAAATGCCACAACCTTACCACAGGTAGAAAAGGCTGATGATCATATCAGTTGTTTTGCACAGAATAACTAACCATGACTTGAAGTATAAACTTCAAAGACTCTTCATTTAGAGAATTATTCCCCATTATAAGCAAACTTGCTTAGAAAAATAATATGACTGTTAAGAGTAGCATTTGGACAGTTGAAAATGGTAACTCTGGAACTTGGGGGTCCAATTTACTGTAACCACTAGCCATGTGGTTTTTACTAAAAACCTCCTTTTAGTAAAAAAATAAATTAAGTTAAATGTTTAGTTCATTAGTCACACTAGTCACATTTCAACTTCTCAATATCCAAATGTCACTAGCAGCTACCATATAGGACAGAAGTATACAACTTGTCATCACCACACAAAGTTCGATATGACAGTACTGCTCTAAATAATTGGTTTTATTAAATCAGAGTCAAATCTTCCAAATGCTTAGGATAAAATATGGAGTTGTAAGTCCAGCGTAAGAAAAGGTAGGATATCAGTTCTAACTTTCCAATTACTGGATTTCTAGGCTGACTAGCTGTGATGCTCAAAGCTGGGATGACTGGAAGATCTTTTGAAGTATTAGATGATTAGTGTTTTGTGTTCTTACTATCCTCTTTGCAAAAGATTATGAGGTGGGAGACTAGATCATCCCACCATCAAGTAAGCAGGTTTTATCATCATTGTGAACTCAGGAAGAGAAAGAGAAGTAGAAATGCAGAATAAAAGTTTTGCAACACCCTATTAAAGAGCCTAATATAAAATTATTTGGTAGCACGATATAACAAAACTGTAAAAAATATTTTTTCTTCACAATAAGTAGTGATAAATGTACTAGAAGTGTTAAGTCTATTTAAGAAGACAATAGTTTATGAGAACAAGTAAAGACAATGTGTGGAACCATACAAAGAAGATAATGTATTGCCACAGATCTAGGAAACTATGTATTAATAATGAAACTGTTACTTTCTATTGAGATCTTTCAATGTATCAGTCTTTGTATTGTATCAGGTTCCCTGTCATTTACTTTTCACAATGATTGGCGAAGCAAGCACAAGTATAATTTGCATTTTACAAGTGAAAAACTACTAAAATTTAAGTAACTTGCTCAATGTAGAAAAGCTAAGACTGGAATTAAAAACTGAATCTTGTAACTCCAGATAAACAAGATTCATACAACAGTGTTGCCCAAAGCAAAATATTTACCTCCAATCTTTGCACTATGTTTAAAATAATTACCTGAATGGATGCTATACAGCTATAAGATTTAATTCATTATTATTTACTTATTTTTATACATTATCATTGATGTACTCTGGACTCCATTGGCTAAATTATCTGGTCTATTTATGCCTGCAAAAATCTAAATTTTCTAATTCATAAATGGTTTTATTTTCATGATATATAGAAACTGGCTCACAGTAAGCTGGTTTGCCTTAGTACTTGCTTACTCCACTTCCTTATCATATAAATACGTTCTACCATTTCAAAAATAATAACAGAAATTCAAAGCATCTTCCACATCCCTGCATATTCATTTTTTCATTTTCTTTAGAACCAATCTTCCTGAAAGTTTACTTGATTATTTTCCTTCGCTGCTTTTCACTTCTCAATCCACAGCAGAGTAGCTTCCAACTCACACACTATGTATGAAATCAATACTTGCCCAAGCCATTAATAATACTGCAAATGTCAAAGCAAATGTGACCAAAATTTATTATGTATTCTAATATTAGACATTATATTATATTCATCTTTTATGAAACTCTCTTCTCCATTGGTTTCAATGGCATCAACCATTAATTAAATATCTGAGGACACTTGATTTCCAAGTCCAAAATTAATCTCACAATTTTAATAATAAATCTGATCTTTTAATGATTGTTTTTGCATCACTATCCATTTTCCAGAAAGCAATATAGGATTCTGAACCAAGCTTTATTTTTCCCTCTCCTGTAATCCTTCATAGATATTCATTTTCCAAGTTCCAATAATGGTATGTATCCAATAATTGAAGAATTCATGCCTCTTTTTTCATCTCTGTTATAGTTTACTTATGTTTATCAATAAATTTGCACTAAATTATTAAAATTCCTCACCTCTAACTTATTTTGCACAACCACCATAATTTTCTTTTCTCCCACCCCCCCAACTTTTTTTTTTTTTTTTTTTTTTTTAATTTAGACAAGGCCTCGCTCTGTCACCTAGACTGGAGTGCAGTGGCATGATCTTGGCTCACTGAAACCTCTGCCTCCCAGGCTCAAGTGATCCTTCCAACTCAGCCTCCCGAGTAGCTGGGGCTACAGATGTGTGCCACCACTCCTGGCTAATTTTTGTATTTTTGTAGAGACAAGGTTTTGCTATGTTGCCTAGGCTGGTCCCAAACTCCTAGAGTAAAGCAATCTGCCTACGTTGGCCTCCCAAAGTGCTTGGATTCCAGGTGTGAGCCACCATGCCCAGCCCTACCATACTTTTCTTGAACAACAATGATCAATGTGCCACTCACTTGCTTAAAAAAAAATTTTGTAACATATGTAGTAGTTTCAGGATAAATGTAAGGGATCAGTTTGATACTTAAGAACCTTTATGATGTGTCACAATTCCATTCAATCCATTCGGATTTCTGTTTTACCTGGAGGACATCATGTTAAGTGAAATAAGCCAGGCACAGAAAGACAAATACTGCGTGATCTCACTTATATATGAAATCTGAAAAAGAAACCTATAGAGGCAGACAGTAGAATAAAAGTTATCAAAAGTTTGGTGGCCATGGAGAGGTTGAGGAGATGTTAGTTAAAGGATACAAAATTTCAGTTAGATATGAGGAATAAGATCAAGAGACCTATTATAAAACAGGGTGACCATAGTTAATACAAGGAACACTGGAACCTTGAAAAAGTAACCTCGCTTCCTTGGTGAAAGACCCCAACAGAACTTAGAATGCTAGTAACCAGGCACCCACATTCTACTAAAAGCCCTATAGGCAGCTTACTTGACAGCAAATGCTCAAGAGAGCAAAATGTCCTCCTGCTGGATCCTGACTTTCCAAGGCTCTCACTTCAGGTCTTCCTGAGGGATGCCAAGGATGCCAACATGGGCTTATTTCTCACCTCAGATGCCTCTGGCCAATTGGCAAGGGGCACCCACAGGTAACACACGGAAGCCCAGGGTAGGCCCCTCCAAGCCACACAAGCCCCTCATAGTCCACACCTGTGATCTCATCAAAGGTGCCCTACACCCTTCCCTATCACCATGTGTTGGGGAAAGCAACTGAGAACCAACAATGATATGTCTCTAATATTTGAAAAATTTGTGCTTCTTTTTGCATCCCTCTATGATATGTGAGGCAATGCATGTGCTAATTCGCTTGATTTGGCCATTCCACAATATATATTTCATTATATGATGTTTTCAAAACATCATATTGTACCTGATAAATATATACGAATTTGTCAACTAAAAATACATATTTCTGTCTTGATCTTGTACAACCAACACAGTATCCATGATCTACACACCAGGAATTGTTTTCTCCTCCTGATATCAGGAGTGCTTTACTCCTTGATTCTGCACATGATGTAAGTTGTCCCTGTCTGCCTGAGAGTTTCTTTCTTATCTTGCTTATCCAATAAATATATTTTATTGGCACAAAACTCTATTTAGATGTGACTTATC
Organism: Homo sapiens; assembly: GCF_000001405.40. Taxonomy (NCBI): domain Eukaryota; kingdom Metazoa; phylum Chordata; class Mammalia; order Primates; family Hominidae; genus Homo; species Homo sapiens. The sequence continues at coordinate 85,641,173 of NC_000013.11, read as the reverse complement.
TGGGAACCCTACACACATTACTACCAAAATACCAGGGGTTTGGTCTAGGTCCTGCTCCTTGCCACACAGAAAGCCAATCACCAAGATGACAAGTGTTGCTGAAGAAGTCTTTAACCAGATGCTGCAGCTGAGGAGATGGGAGCTCAGTCTCAAATCCATCTCTCTGACAAACTAAAATGAGGGGCTTACATAGCGGGGAAGGAATGTAATAATGTGCATAGGAAAACAAGAACTAGGGAGGGGCAAGGAAGCAATCATGATGAATGAGCTGTTCAGCATCTCATCGTCTGAATATGGTAATCTGGTGAGTTTCAGTTCTCCCATACTCTGAGAGGCCATAAGATTGTTTCTTAAGAAAGGAACTCAAGTGAAAAAATATAAGTTGCAAGTTTTAAGACCAGAAGAGTCCATTTCTATGTTTATCAAAAATAACTATCTACGGGACTATTGGGTCGATTTATTTAAACCAAGAAATATGTATGTGTATTTTTAGCTTCAATGCATCATTTGCTTATTTATGATCTAATACTAATTTAATATATTGAGTTCATTTCCTAAATATCTATGTTGCTAAATAGACCACGATCAGGACAGGGAAACTATATTAATCATTCTTGTTATTGAGCAAATCTAATATGTGAGGATTTTTTACTTTAGTATTATTTGGGCCATTGTGTAAGCAAGTTTTTTAAGCATGTGTATATAAACTGAGATAAAAGGATAGTAACAGATATTTAGAGCTTTTAAAAGAGTAACTTGAGAAAGGTGATTAATTAAAATTTTAAATTAACTTCTAAACTTGAAACATATTTAAAAAAACAAAATGTGTAAAGAAAGATAATAAAAATAGAGAATAAAGTTTTCATACAGCAAGGTGCTAAAGCTGATAAAAAAATTGCTGGGTCAATTTGTCTCCCAAATAAGCTTTCCTCTTTTCCCCCAGTTTATCAACTCCAAACTGAAGTAAAACTTTCTATTAATTTATGGAGAGAGTAGAACAATCACAGGGACCCTAACCCTGTAAGAGGGACAGGTTGTATACCTTTGTACAAATATTGACATGTGTAAACATGCATCACATATTAAAATGTATCAAGTTATAGGAAAGATGATGAAAAGAAATCCTATAAAAGCCAGGGACCAAGAGGATGATGGCACCTCTCAACATGTTATATTAAAGTTAGTTTTTGAGCTTGCCTTATTTGCTCTTTCACAGATTAAGACCCTGGATGATACAGACACTGCTTGGTCTTAGTATCTCCAACAGCATTAATCACAGAAACTATTGATGGCAGCAGTGGGCCATCTGGAGCAGCCTTTGCCATCACACTGGCTGCAGTGGGGAGGCCTGGGTGGTGGGTTTCCTCTCCCCCTCATCTCCTGTGCTCCACACCCCCAAGGCAACCAACTGTACCATCCCCACCCTCACACAGCAACGCAGAACCTGCTCCCAGGCCCAGAACCTCCACCGTGGCCTCAACCTCGCTCCCCACCATGTCACAGGAGCCCACAAGCCCCTGGCTGAAGGCACAGCCAGGAATTGTGGGGCTGGCCCCAAGAGCATCAGGTTCATTTGTGCAGAGTTCTTTGGGGCCACCATGCCACCTACATCTCACCTGCCACTCCTGTGAAGAAAATGCAGACAGGAGGCAAACTAGAAGAACAGCAAAGAAAAGCTGCCCACCTGGGTTTGTTTGCCCAAGACGGGCACCACACACGTGAATCACCAAGGTATGTGATTCACAAATCTACCTGCCCACCCTGGAGGTTGAGGCTCAGAATTTGGAGCACAGACCCCACACATAGTCCATAGGGACAAGCATCAGGTGCAGGTTCTTGCAGCAGCTGGGCCTGAGGCACCCTGCTATGTGGCCCTGAGCACGGGAAACTGCACTGACACAGCAGGAATTACCCAGCTGCCGCTGCAGCCACACTGCCATGGCTGCGGACCCAGGCATTTCTATATACTGGGGGCCAGGAGTAGGCGGGAGCCCTGCCCTCCCAGGAGCAGCTGCAGCCAACCGGGCCACGGCCGTAGACCCAGGCATCTCTGCACTCTCGGGGGCCTGGGAAGAACCTCCCTGCACCTGCCTGCAGGCTCAAAAGTGCCTACTCCTGCTACCTGGCTTCTCCCTGCTGTCAGTGTCCACTCCAATCTCAGAGCGAAGTTGAGGCCGAGCCCGGGGACTATCTCAATCTGGCCAGGTGTGCCAATGCCTGTGACAGTGCTGACACGCCATTTCCCTGCTGCCTCATCCCCCTCTGGACTTTAGGTACCAACAAGCATGGGAGGGAGGCTGAAGGGGGTGCTGAAGGCAGCTTAGTGCCTTCTGTCTACCTCATTCTTCTGGATGCAGGACAAGAACTCAGGACCTAATGAATGGTGGGGCTAAAAGAGCCATAACACAAACAGGGCTGAAACACGCCCCTTCCTCACTACGTTGTGAGTGACAAAAAGAAAAGAAGAGAGAAGGAGAGAAGAGCTGTGGCCCTTCAGGGAGCCCAGAGCCAGGAGCTTCCCAAGCCAGGGCTTTGACATTCTTTTTAGGGCTCTGCAATTCCTGCTATCTCCAAGCTTCTGGACACCGCTTCGTACCCAGTGTCAGCCATGGAAGCTGCTTATGGTATGCCTGACCCAGCCACAGACTTGCAGGGAGCCATCGCCTGTGCCAGCACCCAGAGCTGCCGGCCCCACTGCAGCCAGTATGCCTGGCTGTGCACAGTGGCCAGACCCCACACTCACTCACTCACAAACCCCTCACCACCCTGCTCACCCTTGGCAGGCGTGGGAGCCAGGCCAGTAGTATGAGCTGAGCACAGCCTGCCAGGCTGAGTGGTCCCAATGGGCCTGAGAAAAACTCGGGCAAAGGCACCACTGGCCACAGAAGTTTCTGACTGGAAAAGCAACTCAAGGATCCCATAACACTACTACACTTGGTTTGTTGTGTACAACATGAAGTTAATAAAAAGTGGGTGGTTTAATCAATTAATGAATTAATTTGGAATACAGTTATAAATTCTAATATTATTTTTATTCAGAAGCCTATTCCTTTGTCTTAGTGTAGATCACTTTAATTTTTAGCTACACTTTTGGGCTCATTGAGTCAGATAGTTAAAACATTATTAAATTCATATGGAGTTGATTTCAGTTTGGATCTTTTGTCAGAATATATTTTCTCAATTTTAATCTGGCATAAGGTTATCAGTGGAATTTTCAACCCTTACATTGATTTAATTTACTTGTCATACTTAGTAATTTAATTGAGTTCCCATTTTTACTTATTAGCCTTCATGTTTACATGTTAAAACTATCTGGTAACATACAAAGTTTCTGTAAAATTCCCCATGTTTTCTTGATACTTAGATAGAATGATATATATCTTCGGTTTAAAGATATTTTCAGTACATTTTCATTCAAATGATAAAATTCTGTTTGAGTTTAACCATATTTTATGAAAACAAAAAACTTTTAAAAAATAAATCTACTTAGAAAGTGTATCAATGAATTTCCCTGGTCTTCAAAAACACAGAGGTGTGTAATTGCTAAAGAGAAGCATAAATATATTAATATATCATTCAATATTAAACAATTTGATGGTAGTTAGAAATTCAGTTGTTACAACTGACAGAGACAATGTCTGGACAGGATTTTCTGAAAAATGACACATTATAGATATATATTTATTAAATATTATCACAAATGAAGCTCGCTGGCCAGATAATGTTTTGAAATCTCAAGGATGACAGATTTAAGAAATTCTAGATGGAAACAATAAGATTATCTTTAATATATTTATAAATATCCCATCATCCTAGAAGCAGATGGGTCAAAATAAATACTAGACTTTAACCTCAATGTTGCATTTTATAGTGATGATAAATGTTTACTATAAGTCTGAATTTTAGAGTACTATACCTAATTAGCTCCTTCATTTTTTACCTTCATGAAATTAATATTCAGAAACTGTTCTTAAAAGGGCCAGCTGCACGTAATTCAGGTATGAGATTCAAAACTCATACATTCACCTGAGGGTTATTTAATGTGAAGAGTACAAATGAGTGAAACACATTTCAGTAATCATGACAGATATTAATGCTAAGCATATGTGATTAAGAGTCCATTCAATTGTGCAGTTACAGTCATTGTTCAATGAAAGAATGCATGTTCGGTATGGACAGAATATTTGTGTTTCACTGTTATAATCCCAACAAAGAACACAACATTGGAGTAAAGTAGATAATAAATAAATATCTGAATAAATAAGTAAAAAATTGATAATTATCATGAATCTAAAAATTTGCAAAGTATTTTATTGGAAAAGGAAAAAAATCACCATTGATAGTTTTATTTTTAAAAAATAAAATACATCTATGTCTGTGTAGCATGGATACACTTAATGGCTTGAGAGCATGATTTTGAATTCAAAGACATCAAGCCTTTAAGTATTAATTCATATATAAATGACACATGACATATGCATTCTGAGATTGTCAAATTAGGAGACAAATTTATGAACATATCTCATAAAATGGGAAAAAATGTATTATATAGATTTTTAATTAGACTTTCCTTCTTATTCAACATAAAAATAATTTCATCTCCACTATATAAGAAAGTAGTTATTTTATATATGGATTTTAATAAATATTGATTTCAGATGAAAAATTATTTCCATATGCTGATAGTGTATGTTCAGTGCTCTGTTTTCTTTTACATAGACAATACATCCCATTATTTCCTTTCTTTCTTTACATATTTGCGATTAAACATCATCATATAGACATGTAATCTGGACTTAGCTAATTTCATATGAATTCAGTTGCACAAACACATTGAACAGCCACTATTTGTTGGCATGAAAATAGTAGCCTCTGCCCACAGAGAAATGATAGCCATTTGAACTTAACTTAGAGATGGTATGTTACCTTTCTACTACTCTTCCTTAAATTCCTAGAAATTATGTGGGTAATTTTACCAAAAATAATAAAGAAATTACATTAATATTAATATAAATAAATAGAACATTCAGTAAAGTGGTTTGTGGTAAGGCTGACAATATATAAAGCAAGGGAAATAAGTGTGTTTTAATTACTGGATTAACCAAAATATCTTATTTAATTTTACAGATAATTATTTAAGCTAGAAATACCAATAATGAATAAAAATAGACTTTTCACAAACCTCAGCCTCAAGTTTAACATTTATGTATCCTTTTTTAAGTCAGTTACACATTTAAGATCAGTATGCTCACTTGACTTTATCCTTCAGTCAAATTTTTCTTAGCATTAAATCATAAATAATACTCCAATTTACTTTTACCACTGAAGAAAGTTGTATTCAGTTTTCCCCCTTTGTAGAAAGAAATGGTATTTTTGAAAGGACAAAATTTTGTGGGTTTTTTTCCCCTTCTTTACATGGCAAAGTATATTACTTCAGCATCTATATGACATTTAACATGGTATTTTCTATTTACATTTTAAAAAATTTCTAATAATTCTTTCCACGATATAATTTCCATTCGTAAATTAGAATACCAAAAGATTTAGACATGTATGTGAAACTAACATAAGCTAACTTCTGGAAAAATATAATGAAACTTACAATTATGAGTGCCTACTATGTGCCTAATATCTGTGAGTTAAAAATTCTGAGGGGCCCAGTCTTGTCAGGGTTTAGAGGAAGCACTCTTTCATGAGATTTACTCCAGGAGTCACTAGGTTCTTAGGGTAGATCTTGGAGAAAAATATCTTTTTACTGCAATGTTGAACTTATTTACTTCATCCTAAATTAAATAAGACAATAGCAATAAGACCATAAAATAAGTAACAATTTTTTTAAGAGAAAAGCTTTATTTTGGGAAATAGCAGTGAAAAGGAAGATAAAAGAAAAGTTAAACCATCTTTAATTGTTTCCTCAGTAAAGGGTTTTTATGGACTGAAGGCTGTGTCCCCACAAAAGTCATATGTTGAACTCCTACTCCTCAACATGATGGAATTACAGGCAGGCCTTTTGGGAGATCATTAGACTTGGATAAACTCACGAGCGTGGAGTCCCAGTGGTGGAACTAGTGTCCTTATAAGAGGAGGAAGAAAGACTAGATCCCTCTCTCTCAGCCATACCAGGACACAGTCAAAGGGTGGCTGACTGCAAACCAAGAGGAAAACTCTCATTGGGAACTGAACTTGGATTTCCCAACCTGCTAGATCTGTGAGAAATACATGCTTATTGTATAAGCCACACAGTCTATGGCATTTTGTAATAGCAACCTGAGCTAAGATAGTGACATAATACATCAAACACTGAAAATTTGGATGTTAGTTAAAGGACTAAATATAGATGAATTGAAATCAAGAAAATTGTCTTAATAAATGTATAACTTCCTTTGGAAAGCATACACAAAGGATTTTGTTAGATATATTTGCAAATGTTTATATAGAATTCATTCTTTATCGTGGTTTTATGTTAAAATACAACATTACAGTCACAAAAGTACGGTTTTGTGCATTTGAAAAACGATAATATGGATTGTGAGATACATTTTAGAATAACACTGAAATTCTATAAGTTTTATTTAGTATCCTACCTCAACAAGAGTACTTCAAGGCTTCATTGATCCTGAATAAGGTTTCCTTTCTACTGCTTTTACAGACAATTCATTCATCCAGTTTCACCAGGCATATCATTTACTACATTTCTACTACTGTTTTAAGACCATACATGATTTGTTTTTAAAATTAAAGTCTTCATTATGTGGCTTTCTGCATATTCTCCCATGCTAAGTTTGAAGGAATAATAAAATATTTCATGAAAATTGACATAGGTTAATCCAGATTATGTTGCCAGATTTCCTTCTACCTAGCCGGTGCTGGCAAGTCATCATTAATCTGTGTTTTTGTGACGGCTATAAGAGCTCTACAAATTGTTCTACGTAGATATCGTGAGCTATATTTTGTGCGGCATGAAGCAAAAGTGGCCAAATGTATTAGAAATTTTCTCATTACAACATACAAACAACATGCATGTCTTTACCCAGCACTGAAAAATAATGGGATCTCATTCTTCACTCCCACTAAGAGTGTAGGAGAATGTCCATATTTAGAAAAATAGCAACTATCATAAGAAATAAGTTGAACTTCTGTGTTTCATTATCAAAAGAAGCTAATAGCAAAAGAAATTAAAATGACAACAAAGAAGCAAATGTGGCAGGACATACCAAGTAGGATGAGCTTGTCAGAGTTAGGCACTTATTCTGATTTGCTTCAGAAAATGGTGGCAACTGATACGTGAAATATAATCTACCTTAGCCATGGCATTCAAAAAGTCAATTAATCATAGTCTACTCTAAAATCAGGCTACTTATTGACCTGTATTTAATACCTCCTCATAACATTTGTAGGTGATGTGTAACATCTTGGTTTCACTAAGAGATCACAGGGTACAATATGTTATGACATTCAAAATCCTTATTGAGGAATACGATTTCTAGGAAGAATAATCTTTCCTCTTCCAAACAAGACAAACAAAATACAAAAGAAGACATGCAAAACAAAACCATAGAATCCTATTTTATTATCCAAAATTGAAGCTGAAAGCATCGTTTTACTTATTTAGTTTTTCCAATGCTTTATATTTTGTACTAAAGCATTAAGTATAGGTGAGGTAGATATTGTTTTCTTTATATGTCTGATGAAATAATGAACTTCTTCCTTCCATAGATAATTTGTATCTGTTGCAAAATAGGAAACATCTATTACATTTCAGGATATCAAAACAAGTGCTAACAATAATTTATTTTCTTTACCTGAGAGAGAAAATGTCATTTTGCTATAATGGTACAATGGTATTACAGTGATAGGAAGGTATTTTTGTAATAATTTATAATGAAAATCCAAGTCTATTATTGGAGTATAAGATGAGAGAATTTGTCTGGATGTATGGCATTTGATCCTGTAACATAGGAAAGATTTTAAAAATGTGAGATGATAAATAGACTGTATTGTTGAAGTGATGAAAACTGAAAAAATCAGTGGAGTGTCCAAAAGTGCCAGCTGGAAAGGAGACAGAAGGATATCAACAGTCTGCATTCAGAAGGAATCCTGATGTGTTGATGTAATAGCTTGATAATGAAATGACTTGCCTGCCTCTCTTTACAAAGAACTCTTTGACTCTTTGAAGTGGGATGTTTTGGAGATCACATAAACATGGCCTAACATAAAAACTGTGTCTTTAAGTGCGTTATATTTTCTCTATAAACATTCATTCAAATAAATCAGTCTCCAAGGTTTATGTGTTTACTAAGCATATTAGAATTGAAGATTGTTTAATATCTGCTACTCACTCTGCATTCAAATCGAATTTTACTTTGAGATAGTTTTTGGGGGGAAAACACAATAAGTCAAAACTGATTAACAACTCTGTCTAGACTCAAGTAAATACATTGTCACCCAATTTCATGAATAGATAATAGAGTACTTGTTAAAAGCATGTGACACTCAGATCAGTCAAACCTTGCCAGAACTGAGAAATGTAGAAATACTTGCCTTGAATTCTTTGAGGAGCTCACTGGAATATGAAGAAAACGGGCAAGAGAAAGAGAGGGAGAGGAGAGAACAGACAAAAAAAGAGAATAATAGTACAAATTTCAAGATGAAAAGAGTGAGAAAATGATTAAGCCTAAATTCTAAGATGTAAAGTATGATACAAAATCACTGTCCTGAATCAATTATCCAATAAGCCTATTTGACAATCAGCCATTACGGTCTTGGCTTAGCCCGTTAACTAGCTGTGTAACAGGTTCATAAACATCTTATTATAAAATGCCTAGTATATGTCAGGCCATGGTCCTGGGGATACAGTGTTGAACAAGGATAGGATGGTACTTTACATTCCTGTGGGGAGACATAAACAACAACCAAAAGCTTACAAATAAATAATTTCAGATAATTAAAAATTCCATAAAGAAATAAAACAAAACTGGATAGTGAATGGCAGGTAGGATGGAGGAGGGTGGCTTAATATCTGATTAAAACTACTTGTAGTAGGAATTATATGAAGTAGTGTACTAATTGTAATAAAGTGAGCATGTGCACAAAACTGTCTCTGGAGCAGTCAATACTTTCCTAAAGGCCACTCCAGATGTACCAAAAATGTCTGAGCCGTAAAATAAGATGACTCACTCCCGACTTCATACTCTTTCCATTTTAGTTCACCACTAACACTTGAATTAGTTTGAAATTTCAGAAATTACTTGCTATTAATACAGGCAGTAAAAGCGTTCTTATAAACGGTGTCAAGCATGTAAAAATACTCTTTGGGATTTTTGCTTTGCAGAGAGCTCCAATCCTGTTTCAGCTGCCAACTCAAATGCTGCTTTCTACATGATATACCTCCTGCAATAAAGCTCTAAGATGGAAGAAAGACTATGAAATAAAGAGGTGATTTGCCTTGATTTTTACAAAAAATCTCCAAGGAAACCAATTTTATATTTTACCATGTGTACCCATAAAATTAGAAAATATTTAATAAATGATATTTTTATGTAATTCTACTAGGCAAGGATGGAATAATGTCATAGTTCTACTTGTGAGAGCGGGAAATGGTGTAGACTTTTGAAAATGGCCTTACCAACAAAATGGGAATGAAATAAATCTACCTCATAATATGTTTGTTAAGTTTAATTGAGATAATCCATCTAAAATATCTGTTTCTGGCACATGGTAAGTGTGCAATAATATTGTTAGTCATTATTTTCATTAAAATGTGTTGTTTTCCTTAGAATATATTCTAGATGATGGTTATTATTTTTATGTGAAACAGTATGTCTTTTGGAGGCATATACCATATATAAATAAGTGGTAATTAGTACAAAAATGCATACTGCTATAATCACTTGTACCTTGGCATAAAACAAACTTTCTTTAAAAAATGACTTTTTTCTATCAATTCTAAGTCTCCTTCTTCCCTTTCTGGTATAGAAAACAAAATATTTGGGATTATTCATTTTACTTCTATTATTCAAATTTAGTAGAAAAAGATTTCACTATTTTATATTAGCTCTAAGTGTCTCAGTCTCTTATTCTCTAGTTAACCTATGACTCAAACAGTAAAAATCCTGGAAAAAGTATTCTTAGAAGAATCAGAATACTTCTCATATACAACTTATTCAATATCACTTGCTGTGCTATCACATGAAAACAAAATGCAGTAATGGATGGTATCAGGGTGACAGACTAGAGGCCTTTAAAATGGCATACATTTGTTGAGTATTTGAACGGTACCATAGGCATAGCTTAATTCTAGAATATGAGAAGGTAATTCCTACTCTCTCCATTTAGGCATAGCTCAAAGAATAACTGGAGTAGAGCTTGCCCAAGATTAAGTACTTGCTTCTGACCATACAGTGACATTATAATTAACCACTGTTTTGGGACAGAATCTCCCAAATGACAAGGGGCACTTTCAGTTTGGATGGTTATTGACCATTATGTGTGGTTAAAAATAAAAGGTTTTCATCTACAATGAGATACTGTTCTTACAATGACGCTTGTGGAAAATACCATCTGAATGGCGAGTCTTGGAACCTGTCGTTGATATTATTTACAAGAGACATCATTTTGAGGATACATGGAAGTTTCCACTTACTGATATGTTCAAATATTTAGTTTCTTCTATACAAGGAAAAAATTATGCTAAGCCTTGGGATTTCAGAAAAAAAAAACAGATTTCTGCATGTGAGGAATTCTCACAATGTGCAAATTTATGAGACTGAAGAATGTAAATAACTCAGTGACTGGATAAAATAAATATCGGTTGGCTAATCAGATAATGTTGAAAATTTTTAGTGAGCAGGTATGTGAAACAAGTTTCACAGGACAAATAGGAGTTTACATAGGAAAGGAAGAATAAAGCTTTGTTTGGAAATCAGAATAGAAGATGGGACAATTCCCAGTGAAAATTTCAGCCAAAAGAGAAATCAGATGTGTAGGGCCACAGGGCCAGTACAGAGAACCTCAGAAAGTGCCCCCTTGCTGATTAAATCCTTCTACATACAAATACAATTTGGCTAATATGTAATGAATCAATAACACTGAAATTATTGGCCTACTAATTATTTACTATCAAACTGAATAAACTTTAGACATTTGTTTCCAGATACTGAAATCAATAATTATAGACTATTAATAGATCTTTCACTGTTTTTAAACAGTAAAAAACACCCAAATTACCCTCATATGTTTGAAATTCTTCTCCAAAAATAAACAGAAAAGACAGCAGTGAAATTCTTAGTAATAAAAGTGAAGAATATAAAAACTCAAAACAATATAATGAAAACAATTAATCTTGACAGGACCACCTTATATGTTGGCATTATAAATAAAAGAAGACATTCCAATTGCTATGATTATTTTGTTTTGGGTAGACAATGAAATAGAAACTGCATGATTTTAGGAGAATAATTTAATGTCTGATGAGGATTTTGAATATGTTTTAATCTCTTTCTTTTAATCTTATCCATTTTCTATTTTGTTGCCAGCATTTTTTAGTATTCTAGAAAATACTGAGGTCTGAATAGCATCCTGGAGTTCATCAGTTGATGTGGCCTGTGAGCTCTACAATTGGCCTCCCAGCAGTACTTTTTGTTATTTAAACAAAGGGGTAATAAAATGTGCAAGATGAAAATGCTGGTCCTTTTGTTTTTGCAGTCTGCAATGTCCAACTGAATAAAAACAAAGCTTGGACTATGACACAGTGAATGCCTAATAATATAGTGCCCATATATAACATAGTGCCTATATTTTATATAAATATATTTATTTTTTCTTCCTCCTTGGAGTTTTTTTTTTACTAAATTCAGAACTCTTAGTTTCATAACATCAACATACAAGACAAAAGTCTACATGATTTGCACTCTAGACCACGTGTATTGCTAATGACAATACCTTCCCCTGCATCCTCTCCTCTTCAAAAATTTAAAACATGGCATATTTAAGTGCAAAAGGATGACATGCATCTTTTTGGATGGTCACCCCTTAAAGAATTCTAGTATTTTTTTCTATGTAATATCTTTATCTTGTATTAGGTACCATAGGAACAATTTCTTCTGAAAGATAATGTCATTTAAATTGATGGCTGTGTGTGTGTGTGTGTGTGTGTGTGTGTGTGTATGTGTGTGTGTGTATATATGTGTGTGTATATATATATATAATGAAAGGCTTTAAATTATACATATAAAACTTTAAAAAATGAACTCAAAATTGATTAAAGTCTTATAAAACCCAAAACTATAAAACTACTAAAAGAAAACTTGGAGAAAACAATTTATCACATTGGTCTGGGCAAGGATATTTTGGATAAGACTTAAAAAACATAGGTAACGGCCGGGCACGGTGGCTCACACCTGTAATCCCAGCACTTTGGGAGGCCGAGGTGGGTGGATCACAAGGTCAGGAAATCGAGACCATCCTGGCTAATACGGTGAATCCCCATCTCTACTAAAAATACAAAAAATTAGCCGGGCGTGGTGGCGGGCACCTGTAGTGCCAGCTACTTGGGAGGCTGAGCCAGGAGAATGGTGTGGACCCGGGAGGCGGAGCTTGCAGTGAGCTGAGATCGCGCCACTGCACTCCGGCCTGGGAGACAGAGAGAGACTCTATCTCAAAAAAAAAAAAAAAAAAAAAAGGTAACAAGAACAAATATAGAAAAATAGGATTAAGTCAAACTAAAAGGTTTCTACAACCAAGTAAACAATCAACAGAATAAACACTCAACAGAATAAACAATCTAAAGAATGGGAGAAAATGTTTGCAAACTATATGCCACTTGACATGGGATTAATATCCAGAATATATTAAAAAAACTCAAATTACGAGATAGCAAATAATAATAATAATGTGATTAAAAATGGGGAAAATATCTGAATAGACATTTCTCAAAAGAAGAGATACAAATGACCAACAGGTATATCAAAAACATACTCAAAATCACAAATTATTAGGAAAATGCAAATCAAAACTACCATGAGATATTACCTCACCCCAATTAGAATGGCTACTATCAAAACGATGAAAGCTAATATATGGTGTCTAGGATGTGGACAAGAGGAATTCTTACACTCTGTTGATGGTAAGGTAAACTAGTAGAGCCATATATATATATATATAGTTTGGAATTATATATATATTATATATATATACAGTTTGGAATAATATATATATAGTTTGAAATAATAATATATATATAGTTTGGAATAATATATATTATATATATAGTTTGGAATAATATATATAGTTTGAAATAATATATATATATAGTTTGGAATAATATATATTATATATATATAGTTTGGAATAATATATATATATAGTTTGGAATAATAATATATATATAGTTTGGAATAATAGAAATAGGTTTTATTCCACTATATCTGAAAGCCTGCCATTTTACATTAATAAGATTCTTGAACTAAATCTTAAATTTAAAAAAAATCGTCATGTTTCCACAGATGGATATAAATACAATGTGCTTGATACATATGTTTCCACCTCACCAAAGCCAGTGAATGTACTGGGTGAAGATCAGCCTCGGAAACATTCAAATACTTTGAATTTCACATCTTGAATCTGATATTGGGTTAGCACAATCACTAATGCTCCATTGGCAGGAGGTAACTGGGGCATAGAGGTTCTAGACTCTTCAGCAACCACAGCTTTTGAAAACATTAGAAAACTTATATTTGAAATATAATGAGTTATTTACAATTATGTTTCAAAATTACATTACTCGGGATTCTCCAGTGTATCTTGATAATATAGGATTTTTACCAATCTAGTAGGTGAGTAACGAAATTTTAGTATACTTTTAATTTGTTATATACCCTTGATGATACAGGTTAAAACTATTTTATGTTTAAACATATTTTGAGTTCACAATAAATAATTACAAAGTTATAATCAAATTATAGTCAATATTTATAGGTTTAACATAAGTAAAACTTTGTTGGTTCGATTAATTAGAAAATACAATTACTGTGGTAAGCGATTAAAGCAATTATTCAATTGTATAAAATAATAAATGGTTTTATGTATCAAAATGCCAAAAATCAGACTGTCTTCAAGATTGATCTTTTATTTTTGGATAACTCAATACATTTAGTAAAATTTATGGCATGAAACTATTTTTCGGGATATAACTTTGTGGCTCTTTAGTGATAGATGAGGCTTAAAAGGTATCCCCACACTTTGTTCAGTATGTATTAAATCTTTAGAATTGGAAAGTCCCAAGAGAGTACTAGGAAATTTAGAAGTGTTTTCCATTCGTCAATTCTTTTATCACACAATATCATTTTGAGTACATGTCGAGGCTTTTCAAAATGTCATTTCTGCTTAACTTGACATGGGCATTTTATATTACTGCGTGTTAGAATTCACACAATTACTGCTGTCCTTGACTTGAAGCATTTTTACTTTGCACATTGACATTCATTAAAAAAAACCTCAGTCTATCACTGTTCTTTTCTTATCTGTGATATTCACTATTATAATAAAAATATACATTTCTGAAATTAAAATATTAATATATTGTAGACATTTTTATTATGAATTCACTTTATAAAATTAAAAGTAGTCTCAATGTCTGATGCTTTACCTGAAGAGACTGGTGTACAACTTGAACTTATTTAAACTAAGCTTTTATTTGAAACAGTATGTATATTAAATAGTATGTGTATGTAACTTTTGCTAAATTTTCAAGATTTTAATATTTTGATTTAAACATTTGCTTCACGAAGTTAACCTTAGCAAAGGTATGTTTTCTGTAAGTACCTACATTATTTTAATACCTCTTTACATCGGAGATACACATTTTAAGCCAAACTCATTTAGCTAATGTAAAGGATGTATATTCATTTTCTTTAATTGAAATAATAGTTTATTGAGTAAAATGCAAGTATTTTTTAAAACAAATGTTGTTTTCTGAAGAGAAAAGTAAATTATTATACTCTAAGTTCTGGGACATGTATCCCAGAACTTAAAGTATAATAACAAGTAAATTATTAAACATTAAATAATTTTAACAACAGGTAACTATTTCTATTTTTAGTGGATTACACGTCTATTTCTCTTCAACAAGGGTTCATCCTTGTTTTAAAAAACAGTTGCCTTATATGGCAATTTTTCATTTACATTTTTAACCCATTAAATTAGTGTACTCTAAGAAGTTAATTTGTCATTTTGATAACCTAAAATATCTCTGAAAGACAAATTGAACATATTAAATATAATTTAAAGATAACTTCAAAATTGTCTTTTTTTTCTACCACTATCCATAAATTTTAATACCATTTTCTTCTTTATGAATACAATTTTTTTTGGCTTAAACATTTTTGGATTATCTGATTATATGAGGAGTCTATTTTGCAATTACTTTGTTTCTTCTTTAAAATGATTTTTGTGTATTATAAAACCTGTTTCTATACTTTTTTGTTTGTGTTTGAGTTTGTTTTTGTTTATGTTTTGAGATGGAGTCTCACGCTGTTGCCCAGGCTATAGTGCAGTGGTGCGATCTCGGCTCACTGTAACGCCCGCCTCCCAAGTTGAAGCAATTCTCCTGCCTCAGCCTCCTGAGTAGCCGGGACTACAGGCGGGTGCCACCACACCTGGCTAATTTTTTTTTTTTTTTTTTTTTTTTTGTATTTTTAGTATAGACGGGGTTTCACCGTGTTAGCCAGAAGGATGGTCTCGATCATCTGACCTCGTGATCCTCCCACTTTGGCTTCCCAAAGTGCTGGGATTACAGGCATGAGCCACCACACCCAGCCCTCTACACTTTTAAAATAATTTTTAAACTAGGGAAATAAAAAATACAGGTGTTGACAGTGACAGTAAAGACAGGAGTATTAATTAGTGTCTTGTGTATATGTAAGCATTGCAGATGGCTTTTCTTCTTGGTGCATAATTTAAGGATAACAATCACTAATTTCTAGCCTACTCATGAATAGATGTATGTGTGTATATACATATATAGGTATATATAATATAAAAAGCTATTATATTAAATTATAAGCTTTTATAAGTATGACAATATAGGAAACAAAACGTGTAGTTAGCGATTGCAACAAGTATAAAAAAATCTAATTTATTATTAATTAGAATAATATTTATTATTAATTTATCATTAATCACAATTTATTTTAAAAAGATTCAAATTGAATCTTTGAAGACGCATGGTAGCTTAGGAAAAAAATAGATATTAAAAATCAAAGTTTAGAAAAACATGATTCTTGATTTATACTATTTTATAAAAACAACTCTGGTTTATTTTATCTCATCTATTAATCATTTGATTAATTCACTGATTTAAAAGCATTGAGAAATTTCTATTGAACATTTGTGGTGATGGATGGTGAGAAACACAACATTAGAAACAATGACTCCTATTCTCAAGAGTGATTACAATTAATTTTGTGATATAAAAATTCCTATCGTTTAAGAAAGTATTTATAATAAATAAAAATATGTATCATGACCTTTAAGTTGAATAGAAATTTCAAGAAAGGAAATAATTCACTAATTTGAAATCATCAGAAAATATGTTCTGAAGGCTACAGACCTTGATTTTACAACCTCAACCATTAATCTCTATTAGCATAAATTTTGTTATCAGCCTCATGTCTGTTCTCATTGTACTCTGTTCCGGCTTGAAATTCCACATTGCACCTTGTACAATTCTCATTTATTTATTTACAGGCAAACTGATATGTAAAAAGTGATCTTTTGGGCCTGGAGACCGTTTTTTAGCCCCAGTTCAAATTGGTGAATACCATATTTAACTAAACTAGAAATTAGTAATATTCTGGAAATATATCTGTATTTCAATAAATAATTTTATTTGTGATTTCTGATCATTCTTTGGCATCAAAGTGACTCTGAAATAATTAATGCTGTATCGGAGGAAAATGTCAGTGCTAATCACCTCATTATACTTTTCTCCTAACACCCAAGAAAAACCAGAGATCTAAATAGCTCTGTCCTCTCTTGCATATTCACTCTTTTTCACATATCTGGCTCAGAAGAGTTCACAGCTAAAGGGTCAGCATTGTTTTTAATACTTGGGTTAACAATGAGAAAAGTTTCAGGACAGTTATCTTTCATATCTACGTATTCAGATAGTCTGTATAGTAGACATGGGCTTGCTCATATATGTGTGTACACACATACATATATTCATGAGTAGGCGAGAAATCAGTGATTGTTATCCTTAAATTATGTACCAAGAAGAAACATTGTATACTTTTAACATTATTCTTTGGCTACATAAAAATATCACTATTCAGTTTTTGAAAATCTATAATACGGTTCTTTAGAAAATAAAAATTTTATGTTCAAAATGTAGCAACCATATGTGTATTGTCATCACATTATTATATTAAATAATCATGTTATGCTGCTATATTAATGTCCTTGAAACTATCTTGTCAACAATAATAGTTATTATAAATGTTTCCAGGAATTTGGTAATAGTAAATCTATGAATTTAGTTCAGAATCACAAGTGATTAATTTTGGCTCATTTGAAGGTTATGTGTGCCACTAGATGCCATATTTTATTTAAAGTAAGTGTTTAACTAGGAAATTGAATTCCTTATGATATCCTCAAGGCTTAAGGATGTTTAATAAGTATAATACATTTTGGCCAGATGCAGTGGCTCATGCCTGTAATCCCAGCACTTTGGGAGGCTGAGGAGGGCAGATCACCAGGTTAGGAGTTCAAGACCAGCCTAGCCAATATGGTGAAACCCCATCTTTACTGAAAATATAAAAATTAGCCGGACGTGGTGGCACGTGCCTGTAGTCCCAGCTACTTGGGAGGCTGAGGCAGAAGAATAGCTTGAACCCGGGAGGCGGAGTTTGCAGTGAGCCAAGGTCATGCCACTGAACTCCAGCCTGGGCAACAAAGCAAGACTGTCTCACACATGCACAAAAAAATATAATACATTTTAAATGACGTATAAATGACCAGATTATTTTCCCGCGTTCTGTTGCAATGGAAACAAAGGGAATTACCTGCGAAAATTTCCAAATGCACCACAAGGATAACTACAATAATAAAGACAATTTTATCCGTAAGGCTGTATCCCTCAAATTAATGATGTTTTACCATTCTATTATCGGCTTCCTAGATGTACATTTTCACAGCAGTGTGGTTAAACTATGAGCAAATCTTCAAGAAGAATTCTGTGCAACTGAATGTTTGATGTGACTCAAGGACAAGTCTAACAGTGATCATTAGTGAGCTACCATGTTTAAAATATTTTAGGTTTTCTTATATGCCAGTCTTTTTTTATTTTTTAAAATTTCTGACTTTGTATGTCACCACCTCTTTCCTATCCAAGCTGTATCAAGCTCATTTTCTTATCTGTGTGGGTCTTTGTACAGTATATGCCTTTTATGTGAAACAAATGCAAAAATCTCCAAGTTCATTTGTAATTATTTTCCTAAAGTAAGGAAAAATGTTTATACAGCAAATCTGTTTAGGTTAGAGAGTTATGAATGATTTGATATTTTTCTTCTGTATATTTTTCAATATTTCCTTAAACTTCTATAACAAACATGGTGATTTAGTAATCTAAAAAACTATTAATATTTTTAAAAACACGCCTGAAACATTCATTTGCCTGGCATTTATTTGTTTTTGTCACCCTTTTTCCAAGTTTACTGCCTTCCTCATCTTGCAAACTCCTCCATATATCACTTTTCAAAAAATCTACTAACACCACATTTTTATCTAGCTGTTATTACTATCTTGTCCTAGAAGTGCAATTACCTCTCTCCTTGGAACATTGACTCCCCCATCCATGAGGATGCCAGATGTTCTATGACAGCAAAAATTTAATAAAATACCTTGCCTTCAATGGCTAGGATTCCACATCTTCTCCAAAGATCATTTGCTGCTTGTCCATTTCTCTCTAGATGGAAAGGAGCTCACATTTAGAGTGACCTTGGATTAGGTCTAGTCTTTCATTTACTCAGTACTTCACTATTGCACATCACTGAACCAATACTTACTTTTGGTGCAACATTTACAGCCCAGGGCTTCAACTTCAGTTAATTACTTTTTAATTATAAAATATAAATTTAGCAATTAAAAATTGTATTCATTCAAGGGGCCCAGTGTGATGATTTGCTATACATATATGTTGTGTACTGACTACAACAGTCAAATTAATTAACATCCATTGCCATGCATGGTTACGTTACCCTTTGTGTGTTGGGGGTGCGGGGGGATGGGGGGTGAGGACACTGAAAATTTGCTTTCTTAGCAAATTTCAAGTAAACTATACAGTATTAACTATAGTCACCACGTTGTACATTAGATCCCTAGAACTTACTCATCTTAAAACTGAAAATTTGAAACCTTTGGCCAACATCCTTCCATTTCCCCCAGAGTTAGTCCCTGGCAACCACTGTTCTACTTTTGTTCCTATACTTTTGACATTTTTAGATTCCATAGGTAAGTGAAATCAGACAATATTTGCCTTTCTGTGTTCAGTTTATTTTACTTAGCATAAGTTCTTCATATTTGTCCATGTTGTTGTCACAAATGTCAGGATTTTCTTCTCTTCTATGGCTGAATAATATTCCACAGAGTACATTATATATATATTATATATAGTGTATATATAATATATGTACACAGTGTATATATATATATTACATAACATTTTATATATATATTTATATATTATATATAACATTTTATATATATTATATATAACATAGATATAACATTTTAAAATCTGTTTATCCATTGATGGACAGTTGGATTGATTCCATATTGCGGCTACTGTGAATAATTCAGCTAAATTTTTAGGTGATCCTTGTGGAACAATCACAACCCTGTGTTCCTCAGCCAATATGTTGGCTACACAATGAATCCTCCTGTCTAGAGCCTTCACTGGCTACACACCTGGTGAAATGTCACCAACTGGTGGCATAGGCAGCCTAAAGGGCACTGAATTTTAGATCTTCTTAGTTTTCTAGAATATTCTGAATAATCAAGTAAATTAGTAGTACTTGCAATTTTTAAAAAATATCTATATAAAATTGAATTGTTTTATAAGGCCCATAAAAATGAAATATATAAACACGTTGGATGTTGTGCTCTACTTTATGTTGTACTGCAAGAAACAGGTTACCACATTTAAAAACTTGGGTCAAGACACCTACTATATCAATGATTGACCACAAAATAAAATTGTATGCCATTTTTTCTTATACTATCAAAAAGTTTTATGTATTTTTCTTTATTAAAAATTGTAAATGCCTCACTTATAAGAAAAATGTTGGCTGTATAAAGTTTCTAACTATCCTATGTGATGAATATCAGTTATTTATTCTAAATATGTAACCTGTATGCATTTTGGTGATAAAATAAATGTTCATTACTTGGAAATACATTATTATGATAATAAACAGTGAATGCTGGCAGAGCACGGTGGCTTACACCTGTAATCCCAGCACTTTGGAAGGTCAAGATGGGCAGATCACTTGAGGTCAGGAGTTCGAGACCAGCCTGGCCAACATGGCAAAAACTTATTCTACAAAAAAATAAAAAAAAAATTAGCCAGCCTGGTGATATACATCTGTAGTCCCAGCTACTCGGGAGGCAGAGGTTGCAGTGATCCAAGGTAGTGCCACTACACTCCAGCCTAGGCAACAGAGCAAGATTTCATCTCAAAAAAAAAAAAAAAAAAAAAAAAGAGTGAATGTTTATCTTAAAAATTTTGTTTCATTTTTACTTTACAAAATAAATAGCTGGCAAATCTTCAATATTGGTAACTTCTAATCTTTCTCTTTCAATTTTACTGATTCATGTAGTGTAAACCTGTCAAGTACTGATTTAACCTACATATGTGTCGATGAAACATACCAGTATAATCCATCCCATATACTTTTCACAAAGGAGAGAAGAGGTATACCTAATCAAAATCATGAATAAAACTCAAATAATTCATGTTTTATTTGATTATATATTCAAAGGTATGGGAATATATTGTCTTTAATAAACCATAGACACTGATAATTGTCTATTGGTTGGCTACCAAACAGAAGGCTTAAAAATCATAAGGATGGAATTTTTTCTTCCAAGAAGAGGCAGTAGTTGCATTTTTCCTATTTCTCTTACAAAGCGCAACTGAAACAAATATCAACAAATCCACATTTTCTTTTTTTTTTTTTTACTTTATCAACATTAATATTCAAGTTTTGATAACGTACTGCAGTTTTGTAAAACATTACTATAGGGGAAGTTGGGTAAAGGGTACACAGGATCTCATCGTTATTATTTCTTATGTAATTACAAATGTAAATTAAAATAAGAGGCATAATTCTCTCTGTGGACAATAAGGGAAGATAAGAAGTACTCTTTTTTTCTCAAGGCACTTACTTTAGAAAATGTGTAATTGTAAGTACTTTCTCCTCTCTTTGAAATGTATGTAAATCCTTTTGACTTCTAGATGGCCTTTTTGTCACTCTTATGATCCAGGATTGGCTTTCTCAAGAACTTGAGAGACTTCTCTCTGAAATACAAACCTCAAGAGAGACATCATCCCTATCTCCTAGTTTCTATGGGAAGGCAGGAGCCTAACCTCCAAATTAGCAAGGCGAGACCCTTGCTTCAATTTGCATAACTACCTCCTATCATCAAGAGATAACGCAGTTTGTTTTCCCTCTAGATAAAGCCAATTAGCTAACATAGATGGTGGTCACCCCAATTACCAAGTGAATTTAGGATGAATTACATGTGACAAATAGTGCCAAGTCTGTCCTCTTTCTTGAGGACTAGTTATTGCTTATTTGAAAATACATACGTAATGAGTTGTATCTGCTTGGCTATAAGAAAAGATCAGATTTCTCTGTCTTTGCATCTCTTAGCTGACTGCTTATAATGCATATTACATTCTAATTTAATGCTTATTAAATATTAAAATAATTTCATTTCTTTTACTTTGTGGAGAGGTTTTATGGACTTGGGAGAAGACTCTTTTTAATTATATTTCCCTAACACTTATGACTTCATATGATTCTACAATTACCTCCAAATAAAATGTTAATTAAAAATCATGAAGTTTTTTAAAAAGAGAAATCACATTAAGTAATTTTAAAAATAACTATATAAACCATAAAAGAAAAAGGAAAGCATATTGGTGTTGATCAACCTCGAGAAGATATGAGATTTGGTAAGTATAATATTTGGATTTAAGAAATTGGCTTCTTTATTAGGTCTTTATCTCAATGTCCTTAGATCTTTATTATTGCTCTACGCCTGCTACCCGATATTAGTTAAGCCATTAGAATCTACGCCTGAAATACAGGAAATATGCCACCACCATATCTCCCCTTTCACAGACCGAATGACTTCCCACATCTGCTCACTGTGTGCTGAAACATGCACAGACCATTCTTTGGAGCAATGTGTCCCTGAGAAACCACATCATAAGAGCTTTATAGCCATCTCTTTAAACATACTAGGCGTGGAAACTATGCAAGGAGTAAAGAATGTAACTAGTGACAAAAATAACATGCTTACTGCTTTCCATAAGGAAAAGTGGAGGTTTTTAAAAAAGTAAAGTGACTAAAAGTGATCTTGGCAAAAAGAAAGTCTCTCTCTTCTTTTCTCTCTTTTTCCTGAAAGACATGTTTCTTCCTTTCTCCCTATACATTACTCATACTTTAATAACCATCTTTCAAAGACTACTAATTCAAACATTGAAGGGAGGTCAATCTCTTCTGAATATCTATTTTAAATAATCAATACAAGAAAATTAATCAGTAGGTAATATTATGTGATTTACATTTAATGACTATGTTTTAAAAACATGAAAAATAAACTGCATGCATATAAACCCACCTGAGAGGAACGCTGATATTACACAACCTTCATGTAAATAGCTATATCTTGTTTGGAAAGAGTTAAAGTTGATGCTGTATTAAAATTAAATATTTTTATAATTTATTAGGACATTATATGCTAACTTGATTATGCTTAACCAAACGAACTAAAAATGACATTAAGATAATTTAACCAAGCTTATACTAAAGGCAAATTATGTCAAACCCAAAAAACAGAAGTGGTACAATTTAAAAACAATTATTAATTATTGAAGAATCCTTGTGATATTTTCTATGCAAAAGAAAAAATAAATTAAAACCTAAGTGTGTACATATTTAAACACAACACTTAAAACTGTACATGCATTGTTTAAAGAAATAACTCTGTGGGCTAAAGTAAAAAAAATAGTTTCAGTGGAAACACTGGTGGGTTTTGTTTGATTAAATTGGAGATTTGCATAAACATGAGTGACCACTAAAAGTGGCAAAAACAAAAAAAAGGTCATGCACAGCTGTAAGTACAATTTCAAGAAACGGATTTTTTTTTCATTTCTGCTGAGAAGTATATTTTGAAATATATTGAAACAAATGTAAACATTGTGTAAATTTTCCATTCCTTTTTACTCTTCCCATCAAAATAAATTACATACACAATCAGAATTTGAGATTACAATGAAAACAATTTAAAATTGTTTATAACATTTGGTAAAGAGATGAGTGTGAGAAATCACATAGTGAACCCAAGGACAATAAACATATGATCTGAATGAAATGTGTACAGATGTGAACATCTGAACCCCACAACCTTATGAGGCAACATGGTCCTTATTTTTTCTTTAAAATTAGAATCCTTGTTAATAGTACAGTGACTTCAAATTGATTCCTTGATTAAATTCTGGAAGTAATTTAAAAAATACCTCATTAGCTGCTCTCAAACTGTATTGCATTAGTGACTATGATATGAATAATAAAATGAAGTGTTTCCATTTCATTGATATTATTTATATTCTATAACTCCCGCTACTTTGTCATGAATGAGCAATATGTTCTAAAATATAATTAAATATTTATATAATTAAATATTTAATTATATATTATATAAATATTATATAAATATAAAATTATATATTGTAATTATATATTATATAAATATAAAATTATATAAATATTTAATTAAATATTTATATTTAAATATAATTAAATATTTAATAAAATATATTAAATATTTATATTGATATTGTAACAACAATATCAAATATGCCTCTAGCATGTAAGCTATAGAAGTTAAAATGCTAATTAAAAAGTATAAATTTGCCAAACTTTCAAATATTTAATAACAAATGTGATTCTAAAATAAAATTGATAAGATAAACATATACAGATATACTCATATGTATATATACCCTAGTTTATACCTATAAATTTTTGCAAATGCATACTTACTTGCTATATTTATGCAAATATGTGTGTATTTAATGCTATAATATAAAAATGAAAATAAAATATAAAGCTGATGTGGTAGATTGAGATGCTAATTCTTTGACCTCCAAAATTTGCAGATGATCCTTTTTGTTAGACAGAGGCACCTCTTTTCTCTGAAAATTCTTTTAGTTACTTCTAGAATTGCCACTCAATGTTTAAGACCTCCCTCTCTAGTTAAATCAACTTTTAGACAAACTTATAAGAATAGCTATATTTTACTGATAGCAAAAATAACACTCAAGATGAGCAGTAAAAACATACAATTATCTAAAACGTAATGGTTCCTGAGTCAGCAGTATATGTACTTAGTGAGTCATAGAATATACATACATGGAAAGAAACCTAGTGATCATAATGCAATGTTTTATAAATCTCTTTGGTAACCATATGTGTTAGGCAGAATAATGACTCCTCTAAGGATGTCTGTGTTCTAATACTGCAAATCCATGTATGTGTTACCTTACATGGGAACAAGATTCCGCAGGTATGATTAAGTTGAGGAGCTTGAATTGAGATTATCTGGGATGATTTAGGTGGCCCCAATGAAATTACAAAGCTCATTAAAAGTGGAAGAGGAGGCAGAACTGTAGATCAGTGCAATGCCATGTGAGAGGACTCAAATCAAAACCACAATGAGATACCATCTCACACTAGTTAGAATGGCAATCATTAAAAAGTCAGGAAACAACAGATGATGGAGAGGATGTGGAGAAATAGGCATGCTTTTACACTGTTGGTGGGGGAGTGTAAATTAGTTCAGCCATTGTGGAAGACAGTGTGGTGATTCCTCAAGGATCTAGAACTTGAAATACCATTTGACCCAGCAATCTCATTACTGGGTATATACCCAAAGAATTGTAAATCATTCTCCTATAAAGACACATGCACACATATGTTTATTGCAGCACTGTTCACAATAGTAAAATCTTGGGACCAAACCAAATGTCCATCAATGAAAGACTGGATAAAGAAAATTTGGCACAAATGCACCATGGAATACTATGCAGCCATTAAAAAGGATGAGTTCATGACCTTTGCAGGGACATGGATGAAACTGGAAAACATCATTCTCAACAAAGTAACACAAGAAGAGAAAACCAAACACCACATGTTCTCACTCATAAGTGGGAGTTGAACAATGAGAACATATGGACACAGGGAGGGGAACATCACACACTGGGGCCTGTCAGGGGGTAGAGGACTGGGGAGGGATAGCATTAGGAGAAATAGCTAATGTAAATGATGAGTTGATGGGTGCAGCAAACCAACATGGCACATGTATACGTATGTAACAAACCTGCACGTTCTGCACATGTACCCCAGAACTTAAAGTATAATAATAAAAAAAATAAAATATAGAGTTAAAAAAAAAAGAAGATGGAGGAAGGGAGCCATGAGCCACAGAATAGAAGTGTCTGGTTGAAGACAGAAAAGACTCTGAAAAATTTTCTCCTAGGCCCTCTAGAAAGGAATGCAGCTCTGCCAACACCTTGACATCTTGACTTTAGTCCAGTGAGACCTGCCAGACTTACGTGCAGAACTCGAAGGCAATAAACTGTGTTCTCTACACTACTAAATGTGTGATAATTTGTCACAGCAACAATAAAACTTAATGTACCATCAGCCCTGTATCACTGGGCAAAGAATTCATTAGGAAATGCTTCACTTTAGCCTGTCAACTTTATTTTCAGTGTATACAACAACAGCTGTAAAATGTTGGTAGTCAACAGGTTACACATGCAAAACAGAAAACTAGATATTGAAGCTGTTGACTTTTTCTTTTTAGAAACTTCAAAAGTGTTTACTAAGGACCTCAAAATATAAATATTTTCACAAGTCACCCAGTTTTCTTTAATTATATTTGAATATCAATGAGCCATCTTCAGAAAACAGCATTCCTTAGGGCTGAGTTCTATTGGTGTCCCTGCCTAACAGCAACTTCAATAACCTCCAATCCAGTCATTCTTGATTGTACCTTTTCCAGTTTTCAAATATGACAGAAATAATTCTTAGTAAATGACATATGCAATGCCATAAAATGAGACAATACACCAAATCCTAAATTCAAAATTTGTTTAATATCATTCTGGTTCATTCAGGTCACCATTTAACTCTACATTATGTGAAAGGAGAAAAAGTATTAGTTCTCATTTAAGATTCTTTTGCTTACTTTATAGTTCTTTTACAGAAAATACTCGTGTCAATTTAATATCTGGAATGTTAGTGTGTTTATAAGTAAACAACAAAAAATCAATATAACAGAGTCTTATGTGACAAAGAAGTTTTTCTCTACTTTGTTAAAATTCAGAAGTAGAAAATCCAAAGATTGTGTGTGACTATGTCCTATAATTCTTCATAAATACAGACTTTTTCTGGATTATCCTACTAATCCTGAAGTATGATTTTAATTACTGTTTCTAAATATTAGAATGAGATCCACTATCACATTTACATATCAGGCAACAAGATGAAATAAGCACCAAATAATAAAACAAAATTTGAACATCGACTACATTTTATAGTTTTCCAAAAGTTCACGAATAACATTTTTACTTACATTTCATTATCCAGAAACAAGTCATATGCTCATAACTAGCTACAAGAGTTTTTGGAAATGCCATCTCTATCCTGAATAAACATGGAGAGCGGATAGCTTTTTTTACAATGGGAAAAGGTATGAACAGATACTGAAAAAGTCTAGTACTGTTTGCCAAACCATGCTTAGAGACAGGTAGACAACTACAACCCAGAACAAAGAAAGAGAGAAAGAGAGAGAGAGAAGGTGGGAGGGAGGGAGGAAAGGAAGGAAGGGAGAGAGGGAGGGAGGGAGAAACAGGAAGAAGATATACAGATAATCACATTTAATCTTCATAGATCTTTTATATGACAGAAAATACTACATTCCCCATTTTGTCAACAAGAAAACCCAAGCACAGGGAGGTTGAAATGTATGTGAAAGATTACATAGCTAGGAGGTGATGGAGCAGAGTATGAACCTGGTTTTTTTTTTAAATCAATACTTTTCTACCCTTAAACAATAAGTGATACTATAATATTCTGTAATAACACAAACAACCTTACTTTACTTCAGATTTTTTTTCTTTTTTTTCAGGCAGTCCTCATTGTGTCATCCAGGCTGGAGTACAGCGATGTGATCTTGGCTCACAGCAGCCTTAACTTTACAGCATCCTCAACCTTCCAGAAGCCTCAACCTCCTGGGCTCAAGTGCTCCTCCCACCTCAGCTTCCTGAGTAGCTGGGATCACAGGCATGTACTCCCACACCCAACTAATTTTTGTATGTTTGGTAAAGATAGGGTTTCTCCATGTTTTCCAGGCTGGTCTTGAACTCCTGGGCTCAAGCAGTACCCCTGCCTCAGTCTCCCAAAATGCTGAGATTACAAGCATGAGCAACCACGCCCAGCTAATTATTTTTTAATAGGTATATATTCATTTTAACTTCTATTTATATTATGTTTTATAATTCTTTATGATTTTCAGATATCTAAGTCTTATTAAGGGGTTACAATGCTTTTACTGATATGGATAGGAGGCAGAGAAATATTGGGTAGAAGAGGATGGGTCCGCAGCAAAGGCCCCACCCACCTCAATCCTGGAAACCTGCCATCTTCAATGGGAACAGCCATTCCTATTTTCATGCCCTAATGTTACCTTTTCCAAGACTACTCTGACCCGCCATGCCTCTATACTGTGCCCATATAAACCCCAAGCTCCATGAGCAGAGGAACAGAGGAGCAGAAGAGTGGCAGAGTCGCAGACTGAAGTGGCAGAGAAGGAAAGAAGAGAAACAGCATCTGAATGTTGAGAGGAGTTTGGCTGGAGACAGTCAGAGGGGAGATCAGCCACAGGACCACCAAACTCCTGGGGAAGATCATCTTTGCACTCTATTCCCTTTCCAGCTCCCCATCCATCCTGCTGCACCTCTATCACTCAGTAAAATCTCCTCAGTCAACATCATTCAAGTCCAAGTGACCTGATTCATCCTGGATGCCAGACAAGGACTCGGGTACCAAGAGGGCAGGGTGTAAAAGGCTGTCACTCTGATTCTCCACCAAGCTGATTTGACACTAAACTGTCTGCGGATGGCAGAGCTAAAAAAGCATTAATTTTAACACACCTCTAGATGCTACCGTGGGGCTGGAGCCCAAGAGTGCTCACCCTAGCTACTGCACCTGCTCATCTGTGTGCTCCCTATCCCGTAAGGGGTTTGAGCACACAGAAGCCAAGCAAAGGAGCCGCACTCCTGTCCCAAGTCCCATGAAGGGGTGAAGGAACTCCCCCATTTCACTTTGGTACAGAATCTCGTTTAAAATAACATAAATTACAGGTTAATTGATCGACAAATTAAAAATTATATTATTTGCTTTGAAATAAATGTACCCTTAAACGTATGTATACCACTGGTAATTTTTGAATAAGCATTATACACAAATATAACTGACAAACTCAGCATATTAAATATCATACATTGTTTTCTAAATGGCTATCATTTTTAAGTATTTTTATTTTCATGCATGCATACTAATAACAGATGCATACAGCCTATATTATGTTTCCATTCACAATCACTATAAATTCTGAAAAAGTAAAATATTAAGCACACAAAACAATATTATCTGATAAAAAAGTAAGGACTCAACATTGAGCAAAGTTACAGTACTGTTTTATTATTTCTTCTAAGATGTTTACAAAAGCAAATGTTTTCAAAACAAATACTATTTTAAATAAATGCCCTAAATATGTCTTACTACCTCATTACTTTATATGGTCTATTACCGTGAAGATAATATCAGTGATATGATGTATCAGTAGGTAAAGAGAATGCTTTAGAGTATGATCTTGATGAAATTAAGACTATAAATGTGTAAATTATTTAATGTTTTTGAGTTAATGGATGATTGTTTCAAGTATTCTACGGTGGTATCTACAAACATATAGCGAATTATGTGTTTTGTGAATAATCAAATATGTAATCCCAGGAACTAGTAAAGTATAAAAATATATAAATATAACTAAAAGTAATTAACAAAACAAATAATTCAAGTTATATGAAAAATGCAAAAACTTTAAGTGAAAGGCTTATTACAATTTCTAACTCAAATGCTCACTGAGTTGTGTCCGGGAATGATTATTATTACTAAAAATGATAATGTATTTACCTGATCAGAAACCAGAATACTAATAATTTTTAGTATTGATAATATGAATTCAGTACATACCCTCTTTAATCTATTTTGTGGTAAAAACAAGCAGAAATATTGTCTTTTCCCCAGCAAACATGTAATTTATATATACATATACATATAAAAATATTTTACTTAATAATTTAACATGTGTATTAATAATGAAAATATCAAGAAGCTGTGTAATGTTTAGTAGTATTATCTTTCTGTTTAAATACACAGAATCTTGTTTAAACTATGTTAAGTGACAAGAATATTCCATGATTAACATGTTATTTTTAACGTTACAGTGATCTGCATTCTCTGTATTCTTATGTAGAATTACTCCCCTTAATAACAATTCTAATTTTTCAAAGATCCTTAAATAAGATTTTGGATAGAAGGAAGGAGTAGGGTGGGGTAAACATAGGGGTGGGTGTAGTTCAAAAGTCATCTCCAAATTTCTGGTATGCTCCTACCTTCCCACCTGCTTTGAAGGTGATCTGCTGATTAACAGAAAGATGTACATATGTTACTTGGTCATTTACCTTAAACTTATTTCTCTTAATTGTATATTTATATTTTCACTTTACAGGATACCAATGTATATGTCAAGTTAATTTACCAAGTAAAACTTATAATCCACATGGAACTAATTATTAATTTGTAGTTATACCCAACAGAAAGACAAATTACTTGGGCTGAACATAACATGTTTTCAAATATTTATTGAACCACTAATTTATTGAACAATCTCATAATTTTCTCCATCTCCTATGGCCTACAAAAGATCACCTAAGTGGTTTGTACATTTAAATTGTAGTCAGTAGGGACTCCAACTCAAAACTAAGCTAATATATAACACCATTCTATAACCAAGTAATATTAATGTTTCCATTAGCTATGTTCTATGTGTCAGCTACTCCGTTAGGTACATTTTATATATACCAGTTAATGCTCATGACAACACTGCTCAAGATTTTTCTTTAAAATCTCATAATATGTGTACTTTCTAATATTTAAAGCATAGTTTGTGATAATTCCAACAAACAAAAAGTTGTCTTTGCAAAGTAAATGTAAACCAACTAAATGCCTAATTCAAATAATAAAGCTGCATTTTAGTAAGTAAAACTTTAAAAAAAAATAGTCATCTTGACTACGATTATGATGAATAGGCAAAATAATTTATAATATTTTTCCTTTTAAATAAGATTCAATGCAGATGTGCAAGCTATAGATTCACAAAATAACAAAGACAGACTGTGTCACCCTGAAGTGAAAGAAGAATCTATGCTACTAGAGGCTTTTAGAAAATGATAGTCTGCATCTGTGGGCAGTTTAACTTTCTGCCAAGGTTTTCATCTTCTTTTGTTTACTAAGGGTACATTTTAAAGTTAAACATCTTGAGAATTGGCGCCAGAGTTTGTGACATACAGCAGCACTTTGACATTCCTTTGGTTTTGCGAAGAAACTGGTTATCTGCAATTTGGTAAACACAATAGCATGAAATCATATTTTACTGGTTTATTTAATAATCTTGCAGACAATTTTAAAAGGGCAGATTCTAAGTAAGAAACTTGCATTTCAAGGTTTTCAGAAGTAGATAACAGTAAGCTGACATTGCGATATTGAAGAACACTTTCTATCTTGTCTTCCACTTATATGTTTCCCTTTTCCTATTTGATAATAATTTCAAATTAAGTTGTCAATGATAATGTCATGAGGCCAGTTTACTACCATCCTCAAAAATTAAAAAAAAAAAATCTGATCTATTTTTTATTTTTGCAGGGGGATCATTTGTTCCTTTTTTCATGCACCAAATGTTCATTGAGTACTTACTAGTTTTAACTATTTTTTAAAATCTTCCCTGTTAAGAAGATTATATAGAGGCTATTGAATTCAGTCAGATATGTAAATTCTGACTTTTATTATTATGAGTTATTAAAGGTGTGACTTTCCGAACAGATTACAAGCTGGGATTGGGTGAGACAGCCCATGGAGAATGTGTAGACAGTGGTTCTCATCTTGAGTTATATGCCAGAATCATTTTCTGTGCTTTAGGGCCTATACTTTTTGAAGCCTCATCTACAAGCTGTTGAATAAAAAGCTTTCTGAACAGAGACCAATCTAGACACTAAAAAAATTCTATAGAAGCTAATATTTACACAAAAGGTTGAGGAGCACTGTGGAGAGAAAGACAAAAAGAGAGTAGATACTAGGAATCCAAAACATCAGTATGTGAGTGGGTGATGGGAGGAACAGCTAGTGAATAAGATGGGGAAGAAAGTGGAAGAAATGGAACAGAATCCTGTAAAAACAAGGAGGCCAACAGTTTCAAGAATAAAAAGGTGTCAGACGTACATCTTATAGATAATTCAAGCACTGTAAGAATTAAATATAGACTAAGAGATGTGTAATTTCTGAAATAACTGATGAAATTTTTCAGTGATTTCATTGGGAGAAATTCTGGACTGAGGAATAAAAAGAGAATGGGGAACCTGTGGGGAATTCACGAAGATAGATTTTATCTTGATATGGATAGTTTTACAGATATGAAAAGGGGAATCTCATGTAAGTACACAACTGATAGTCTCGATTTTTCTGAGGTTTCAGACAAGGGCAGCATGCCGAATTGGACTAAACATAATCTGATAACTTGATTTACCAAATTATTATTATTATTTTGTTTTTAAGGAGGGAAGAGTTTAATAGGCAAGAAAGGAGGAAGGAAGAAGAAAACAGCTCCCCCATACAGAGATAGAGACGAGGGGAGTGGGGATTCAAAGGGAAGGCTGGAGAGGTGGTGTCTGATTTGCATAGGGCTAAGGGAATTGGTTTGACCAGTCATATCACTCTCGTAGCCCACAGAAAAACCCGGCCCTCCCACCCTAGCCTTTTAATATGTAAATGCAGGGTGCCATGGTGTTCTACACACCTGAGGATATGTGGGGGCAGGCACATGTGGGGGCAAGGGTAAGGAGAAGAGGGCGGGAATTGCCATGTTTGGGTGGACCCAGTTTCTAATGGCCAGCATTTGCATACCAAAGCTTGCTGCCTGGCTCTAAGCATGGGGGCTTTCCTGGTAGACAAAGGTTTCTGGAGCAGCTTTAAAGGAAACAAAAACTTCCCAAGAACCCCTTTTCCTATCTATCTGCCTAAAGTAATTTGTTAATAACTCCCTGTGGAGATGTCACCCTAACTGCCGTTGGGGGTTTTGGGTGGTGACTCCTTCTGGCTACCTCTTACTGAATGGGGGTGTTGAATGGGGAACAGCAGCTAGGGCTCCTCCTAGGGTCCATCTAAGGGTCCTCGAAAGAATGCCGTGTCCATGGGTGGTAGCAACAATGACAGTGACACTAGCAAATTGTCGATATTTATGGAGCTCTATTATATGCCAGATGTTGATTTAGGATATTATATGAATGATATGATTCCATTATTATGTAGTCTAGTAGATCATAAAAGATATAAATTTGTCCAAGAGAACATAAATAATAGCCGATACCACAATTCAAACCCATGTCTGTTTGGCTCCATTACTCTGGGCCTTAAACAGTACTCCAGATTCATTTTTAACTGCTTGAAGCAAAGGATAGCTTTAAATCAGGTTTTATATATTTATGAGACAGAGAAATCATTGGATTTAAAGGCAAAATTAATAAAACGTCAAAACATGGCAATAACATTAAATTTTTCCCTTTGGTCTTAAGAAGTAAATCTTAAAATTACATGATCTAGTGTTGTTTCTCTATTGTTTTTCTAATAATTATAACTTCAGTTGATAAAACATTTGCCAAATTTTGTAAATATCTTCACTTAAATCTTACTCCCTTGGTATCAACCAAAAAATCATAACCTAATTTAACATGAATTTCCATTTAATGCATATCATTACTAGCAATTGAATGTGTCCATGCTTCTTGGCCTCACTTTAACCTCACTCCAGATTTCAAAGGGACACTCAATAATGCCTAGAAATTTTAGTGCAGTCCTCCTGTGTACTCACATTTTGCTGTTTAAATTATTTTCCATATTCTATCTCCATTTCTCCTTGCTTCCTAGCCCTAAAGCTGCTCATGACTTTATATCAAATTTGCATGCAGAGGGGATTTCCTCCATTTTTCCACTAACAAGTCAGTTGTCCATCTTCAGCTTTACATACGCTCACTGCCTTCCCTTGTCTTACTGTGAATGATATGACCTTGTGCTGGTCAATGACCAAAGTCTCTCAGTATGCTCCGGATCTCCTCCTGTTTCAGCCACCGGCTTCTGTGCTCATTCCTCTCCTCAGTGTTATTGCATCATTAATTACCCCCACACTATGTGGACGACATTGCCAAAGGCATAATCATAATCCTGTATTGCCTTTTTAATATTCATAATTAATTATTTCATATTTTAAGTTGACAAATACAAATAGCATATATTTATCAATGACAACATAATGTTTCAAAATATGTATACACTGTGGAATAGCTAAATTGAGCTAATTAACATATGCATAACCTTACACACTTTTTATGGTGAGAACAAAATCTACTTTCAGTGATTTTCAATCATACAGTGCATTGTTATTAACTGTATTATGTTGTACAATTACTGTCTTGAACTTATTCCTCCTATTTAACTGAAATTTTGTATCCGTTGACCAACATTTCCCCAGTGCCTTGCCATACCCACCCCATCCCAGTCAGTATTTCCTCTTTTAAAAAAGGAAACTTCCCAGAATGAGTGTGGTGGCTCATGCCTGTAATCCTAATGCTTTGAGGAACCTAAATGGAAGACTCGTTGGAGCCCAGGAGTTCGAAACCAGCCTGGGCAACATAGTGAGACCCTGTCTCTACAAAACATTAAAAACTTAGCCAAGTGTGATTCTAGTTACTCAGGAAGCAGAAGTGAGAGGATCACCTGAGCCAAGGAGTTTGAGGTTACAGAGAGTAATAGATTTGGCTGCTGCGCTCCAGCCTGGACAACAGAACAAGACCCTGTCTCAAAAAAGGAAACTTCCCTGCACTTTGCAAACCTCTCTAGTTAACCACTCTATTCTCCTGTTCCCATATAATAACAAAACTTCTGAAAATAGAAGTATGTAAGTTATTGTTTCTAAACTATCGTCTCACATTTTTTCCTCAATTTATTTCAATAAGGCTTCCATTCCCACAGCTTCATGAAAATGTCCTTGTAAAGATCAACACAGATGATGCAGTCAAATTTACCTATGACTTCTAGGTTCTTCTCTTATTTGACATCTCAGTAACATCTGAGATAACGGACCATTTTCTCTTTCTTGCGACAGAAGTCTAAGAATCCAAATTCTTGTGTTTTCTCCTACTTCAAAAGCCGTCTCTTCTTAATCACGTATACTGGCTCTTACTCTTCTGTTCAAGCTTTGAAATGTTGGAGTATCTTATGACTCTGATATGGATGTCCTTTTCTTTGCCATGGAAATATTCTTTGCAGATAACCTCATCCTATTCTATGGCTTCTAATGTAATCAATACACACATTTGAGATTCATATCTCAAATCCGTTTTTACAGCCCATACATTTTCTCTGGAACTGCAGGCATGTATATTCCATTGCATACTTGACCTCTCCATGTGAATATCTAACTGATGTTTCACTTACAGCTTGATCAAAACCGAACCCTTGTTAACCAGCTCCCCCCACAAAAAACCTGTTTCTTTTCAGGTCTCATCTCAACACAGGCATGAGCAAACACTCAGTGGGTCAAACCAAATCTTGTAGTTATCTGTGATTCTCATATTTCCATCCCATTTTCTTTCATTCATCAGAAAATCCTGTTGAGTCTATCTCTAAAATGTATCCTAATTTGTCCCCTTTTTGCCACTGTCACTACCAACACCCTATCTCAAGCTCCATTATTACCCTTGTAGACAATTACATTAGTTTTCTCACTGTTTTCCGTATTGCTGTCTCTTCACGGCAGCTGACACAAACTATTAAAGCCTAAATCAGATCATATTAACTCCTCTACTTCAAATACATTATGAGTTTCAATTATCAGGTGTGTCCAATCTTTTGGCTTCCCTGGGCTACATTTTATGGGGCCACCCATAAAATTCACTAACTGATGAGCTAAAAAAGAAAAAAATTGCAAAAAGTCTCATAATGTTTTACAAAAGTTTACAAATTTGTGTTGGGCCGCATTCAAAGCTGTCCAGGGCCGCATGTAGTCCACAGGCCACAGGTTGGACGAGCTTGAATTAGATAAAGAATTAAACAAAATTCTCACCCACAAAGCTGTACATGATCCATCTCCTATCTTGCCATTTTCTGGCCCTTTCAAAAATGTTTGTCAACTTCTATATTATTACTAATTATTATTATTATTATCATTTTTGAGACAGAGTCTCACTCTGTCACCTGGCTGGAGTACAGTGGCATGATCTCCACTCACTGCAACTTCTGCCTCCTGGGTTCAAGCAATTCTCCTGCCTCAGCCTCCCGAGTAGCTGGGATTACAGGCATGCACCACCATGTCCGACTTTTATATTTTTAGTAGAGATGGGGTTTCACTATACTGGCCAGGCTGGTCTCGAACTCCTGGCCTCAAGTAATCTGCCCACCTCAGCCTCCCAAACTGCTGAGATTACAGGTGTAAGGTACCACATCTGGCCAACTTGTCTGTTAGATCAAGTATTTGGTGAATAATATTTAACTTTTTCTTCACTGTGGAAAAATATTAATTAGGAAATAAATACATCATAAGCTATGGTTTAAATTCTAACATCAATTCTAATATAGGCAAAATAATGTCAATGTCACATCTTATTTTGTAGTTAAAGTTGGATAGAAAAATGCCTAAAAGAATATGCTTCTGATTCTTAATTCAACAAACTATCAACAACTACAAGGGGAGTGTAGCGGGTTAAAATAAACCCTGGCAATTTGAGGTCTTCTATAGATTATCTCTTCCAGCTAATATTTTTAGGTATTGAAATATCAAGGTGACACAGAAACAATTTAGATAAAGTTGCTGGTACAGGATCTATGTACTCATCCGTCTCCCAGGTAAACAATTCAACGGAAAAGATTAATGGTACTCAGAATATTAGTCTTACTTATCTCCTTAGTTTTAAGACTAGTAAAGCTGGCAATTTTACAGGACCGTGGCATCAAGCCAATGAGCATGCAAATTTAAATTACTCATTTAATTCTACATTGTATCATAAAAACCCAAGGCGGTTTTGTTTTAGGACACTTTATCTATTAAGAGTGTTCCTATTTCAAAAGATACAGGTTTTTTCTTGATTTGTTAGAGAAACATTGAGAAACAGAATCAGGTGCTTTATTTAGTTACGTAGAAACATAAAATCTGCAAACTGATAATAGACAGAGTCAATCAAATGCAAAAGTCAAAATTTAAATGCCAGGTTCTTTATTTATATATATATATATATATATATATATATATATATATATATATATATATATAGTCAATTCGCATAAGACAGAAATTTTTTGTTACTTCATTGTGCTGTGTTTTGCTGTATCAAATGCATCCTTATATAGACTACTAATTCTTGTTTTAGAAAAGTTATCATTTTTCGCTGAACCAATGCCCTCAGTTACACATTGCAACAAACTGACTACACCTTAATTTGTGGTCTGGTCTTTCTCAAGTTGTCATTCTCTCATATTGTTTTTCTAACATGCTAAGTCTTCTCAATCTAATTAACTATCTATAATTTAAGGGCCCATGCAGAAAGCACAATGGCAGTGCTAACCAATGTCTGTCACTTGTCTGCTCCTTAACCTCAGGATTCCATGAGTAATAAGCCTTCACCAGAGAATTACATTTCCAATGACTCTTTTAAAATAAAAACTATATAATTTGATTGACAGTGGAAAATGCCTATTTAGTAATAGTTCTAAAGCTGAAAAACTACAGAGGACTTCATTTTGAGTATCTAACTTTGTAAAAAAAGCAGAACTTATTTAGCAATAAATTCAATGCGTATCTGTTTGTTTCTTGAAATTAATCTTTTTTACTTAGTTTATACTTTTTTGAGAGTTTTGGATTTTAAAGCCTTTACCTACATTAAATAAGAACTTCTTTTTAGAAGTGGTACTCACAAAAACACTATGAAAGAGTGAAGCAGTGTTTCAATTCCTTGGCTTAATGTTTTTGCCACTTCTGCGTAAGGAACTCCATCTTAAATATTCTGCAGTAAGCTGCGCATATCTCTATCCCTGTCCTTATCACTCTTAATGTTTACTTTTGATTTATGTAACTATTTCATCCATCTATCACAGTGGCTGGAAAACAGCAGTCACCTAATAAATAATGATAGAATTAAGAAATGAATATCTATGTGGAAAGTTTAACAAACAGTGGGCATTTTGTTCTAGTTGGAAGGTAGGAGTAAAAAATAGCATGTGGGCCGGGTGCGGTAGCTCCCGCCTGTAATCCCAGCACTTTGGGAGGCTGAGGTGGGCGGATCACAAGGTCAAGAGATCAAGACCATCCTGGCCAACATGGTGAAACCCCGTCTCTACTAAAAATACAAAAAGTTAGCTGGGCGTGGTGGCATGTGCCTGTAGTCCCAACTGCTGGGGAGGCTGAGGCAGGAGAATCGTTTGAAACCGGAAGGTGGAGGTTGCAGTGAGCCGAGATCGTGCCACTGCACTCCAGCCTGGGCAACAAGAGTGAAACTCCATCTCAAAAACAAGCAAGCAAACAAACAAACAAAAACATGTGATTTAATAATTGATTTCAAATATGAAAAATAAACTGCAAACTTATAGAATTTGAGACAGCAGCCAGTTAATAAGTTCAGCCAAGCAAAACAGTAAATTATTATTATTATTATTTTTACCTTTCTACCATTTAGTACTTCTATAAAAGTTACTTTATAGTGGCTAAATTGGACTGGTTCTTGACTTTTCTGCTTTCCCTTATAATTTCCTAGTGAGGCCTGTCCATCTAAAGTAATATCCAGGATTCTGGAATTATTTTATATGCTTTCTCTTGTACTTAAAATTTTGGTCACAGTAGTCGACTAAGCTTAGATTTCAATTTCAGCTCTAACCTTTATTGGTCGAATGGCTTTACTCCAATTCTCTCTCCTAAGCTTCATCTACCCAATGGTGATAACAGTGTTACTTATTTTATAGGATTACTCCTCAGAGTAATCCTGTAAACTTAAGCAAATGAAGTATTCATATCTTAACATCTGAGCTTTAAAAGTGTTCAAATAATTATGCTTACCAATATGTTATATACACATAGCTATACTTATATAAATTTAGCATATATATTAAATATGATTAACCTGAGTCCTCTTAATTTGGGGAGTTTCTACGTATTTTTCACAAGCAGGACAGGGCTGTTATAAATTTCTCATTCCAAGTGTTGTGACAAAGTTGTTACCAATCCAGAGGTATTTACAATTTAAAACCAATAAAAACTGCACTCCAAAATGCGATTTAAAGAAATTAAATTAAGACACATGGAGATTTGGGGAAGACTTATTGAGGAAGAAAGCCTGCCTTTCAAATTCCCCTGAAATAACACACATATAGATGCGTATTAAAGACCTACTAATAAGGACTTTTATCCCATTATACATAGAATAAACCATGGCTTTAAACTTAGCAACTAAAATGTTAGAGAAATATATGATTTAAAGGCAAAAATGTGGAACAACCGAGCAAACTAATACATAATATATATACTGCATAATGGAGCAGTATTCTTTATCATTTTAGATTGGGGCCTCATAGCTTCTTCTTGTTCCCCTCACCCCCGAATAAGGGAAAGGGTGTGTGTGTGTGTGTGTCTGTGTGTGTGTGTGTGTGTGTGTAACAAAGAGAGAGTGCCTGTGTGTACACTGTGAAGAGGGTTGGGAATGTTCTATTGAGGATGTGAGGCTGAGATCTGTAAACATAAGCATGACATTACTGTAAAAAACTCTGTAAGGACAAGGTTGCAGATGGTGAGTAATAAGAAAGAGAGAGAACTAGGAGGTGCTAACAACGTTTTGAGAAGCTATTTTTAGTAATAGGTCCACATATTCCACAGGACAATTTTTTAATTTTTTTTCCTCATTTATAAAATTCTCAAACATATATGTACATTTATTTTTCCTTTAAATTTTTCTTTATTTTATTTTTTTCTACAATGAAAATTAACTACTACACAATTTTTGACCAATTATGTTTTAAAATTTGTTTTTACATATGCAGTGGTCAGTGTTTGGCTTAACATAGTGCAAACGAAAAATACAGGATGCTTTCATGGGCCTGATGATGATCCGAAAGACTAAAGTGTTTCTAAAATCTCTAAGTCTATTCTGATCCAGCAATTCTACATCTAGTTTAAGAGTTCATCACAAGAAATGTTTACGAAATGGGTGGATGTTTAAGAAATGGGTGAATATTTTGTCCAGAGTTATTTGATGCAACTCTACAACAGAAAAAACATACATCCAATCAATACTAAAGTCAATCTAAAAGGATTTATGAAATAAATCATGGCACATCCATTGCTTATAGTTCTATAGCTATTAAAATAATGTTCAGGCCGGGCACCGTGGCTCACGCCTGTAATCCCAGCACTTTGGGAGGCCCAGGTGGGTAGATCACCTGAGGTTGGGAGTTCGAGACCAGCCTGACCAACATGGAGAAACCCCCCTCTCTGCTAATAATACAAAATTAGCTGGACTTAGTGGTGCATGCCTGTAGTCCCAGCTACTCAGGAGGCTGAGGCAGGAGAATCACTTGAACCCGGGAGGCAGAGGTTGCGGTGTGCCGAGATCGTGCCACTGCACTCCAGCCTGGGCAACAAGAGTGAAACTCCGTATCAAAATAATAATAATAATAATAATGTTCAGAACGTATAAACTCAACATTACAAGGAGTTCTTACAAGCTGTTTATAAGAAACAATGCTGACAACTAAGTCCATTGGAGAGCACCTGCCCAGTGTAAAGAAGGCACATGCAATTTGGCCTCCAACACATCCATGTAAGGCTGAAAACTGAGTACCGCCAGATAGATAATCGATCTACTTTACAAGAAAAGCTGCAAAATGCATGGGACAGGTTCTTGCAGAAAGATAAATCACAATCTGGGTTTTAGTCATTGTACTCTCTTTAGGGAAAGACCAATGGTACACCAAAGGTAAAATGAAGCTGATACAGACAGTATATTGTTTAAAGGACCATATAAGTTAAAAATCTCAATAATATTGTTTAGGGCTATTAAATACACTATTATATTTTAAACTTAACATGTCCTTAACAGATCAACAAATTGCATGTATGATATTCTATTTTGTTTAATAGCACTTACTGCATCACATCTCATGGTACACCATAATAAATATTGTAATTCGGCCATGTATTTCTGATTTCTATGGTAATGAGAAATGTAAAATTTCCTCAGTGTTCTAGCACACTTCTATACTGATAGCCAGTGAAGTAACTAATAATTATTTCAGTTTTGCAATCATGTATAAATCCTGTCCTTCAGGGTATTAGTCTGCTCTTGCACTGCTATAAAGAAATACCTGACACTGGGTAATGTATAAAGAAAAGAGGTTTCATTGACTCACAGTTCCACAGGCTCTACAGGAAGCATGGCTTGGAAGGCCTCAGGAAACTTACAATCATGGCAGAAGGTGAAGGGGAAGCAGGCATGTCTTACATGGCAGGAGCAAGAGAAAGAGAGAGGAGTGGGAGGTGCTACACATTTTTAAACAACCAGATCTCATGATAACTCACTATCATGAGAACAACACCAAAGGGAAAATTCACTTCCATGATCCAATCACCTCTGACCAGGCCCAACCTCCAGCATTGTGTAGAGGTAATTCTAATAGATGAAAGGAAGTTGGACTAGAGGGCTTCCTGTCTTTGGTGGACAAGGACTTAATTAGCTTAAAGAGTTATGAAAAAAAGGAGAAATTAATTTTGTATTGCATTGAGTTCTGACAATGTTTTACTTGTTCCACAATGTATTTTCCCAATCCTAATTAATTTAGCAAAAATATATTGAGTTTATATACTCTACACTCGTTATGCAAAAAATCTAGAATCTCACTGTAATTCTGATAACAGCTACCACACTTCTCCTAGCATTTGATGAAAACACCAATTTAGATCTAAGATAGATTTTTAATGAGAATATATGTGATATTCTCATTAAAATTAGTTTTTTTTTTTATTCCAAGACACCATTCTCCTTCAAAGACTTAAAGATTTCTTGACCTATTAAGTTTGTCTCTTCTCTGCTAGCAAGAAGAATTGAGACTACTAACCATTTTTTTAAGTAAGAACTGCTAAGGTGGATGGGAACTTTTCTCAAAAAGGTAAACTTCCGGTTATTACTGCAATATAATATTTAATACTTACAAATTTCCTTTTGAAATGTTGATAGAAAAAGTAGGTAATGTGGAAAACACAGCTTTTTTTGCTTAAATACTTTTTTGGGAAAGACTCTCTGCCCAGCTTTGAACACAATGATTAGCTGCCTCAGGGTCTGCTTCAGCTTCTTAGCCAATATATTCTTTTCTCAGGGAAAAGATTTTGTCAGGACTGTTTCTAATTTGATGGCTGCCCTGCCCAATCAAGCTTTGACGCTTTTCTTTTCTTTGGGATTATAACCCAAATAATCCTTTTTGCCTTCCTAAATCTGTCTCAGAACCCAACCACCATATCGATGCTGGGAATGGTCCAGGAGAGGAAGTAGTTAGATGAGATCACTTGCTGACTACTAGAGCATTAGGGTCTCATCTTGTGTC
Organism: Homo sapiens; assembly: GCF_000001405.40. Taxonomy (NCBI): domain Eukaryota; kingdom Metazoa; phylum Chordata; class Mammalia; order Primates; family Hominidae; genus Homo; species Homo sapiens. Next base: position 85,598,856 of record NC_000013.11, on the reverse strand, counting down.
TTCAGGAGGGCAGACCCACCCTCTAGCATAAGGTGAAGATCCAAATGGAAAAAAAAAATTGACTTGTCTTCCTGGAAAAATTTGTCAATGTAGGAGGTTGCATTAACTGGTGTGATGACTGAGGCATCTATAATGTATGCATAAAATAATAAATAAGAAAATAATGGAATCTGATGTTTATATCTCAGTTGCATCAATACCCCACAGATGGATAATAAAAACCAGAGTGCAATTAATAAACAACTTATATTTCATACTTGCATATTTATTTTGTTCTTGCTAGAACACTGGACATGCTACCCAATCTGACTTAACTCTTTTTTTTCCCTTTTTGATATTTGCACATTATATCAACATTCTGCCTTTTACTGAGAAACAAGAAAGAACTAAAGGAAAAGAAACTATGGGTTACTTTGTTTTTCTTTTCCTTCCTGTGTAGCCATTTCCAGCATTAGAGGTTGACAACTATGCAGAAGTAATACAGGGAGGTAATACAGGAAAGAAAACATTTAATAGTGTTCCCTGTGCTTTCATGTTTCTTACATCATCTGAATTAGTTTCCTAGGGCTGATGTAATAAAGTACCACAAACTATGTGGCTTAAGCAGCAGCAACACATTGTCTCATAGTTCTGGAGGTCAGGATTTTAACCTTACCTCTAAATAAGTTAACATTCTCAGGTACTGGAAGTTAATACTTCAACATATTTTTTGAACAACACAATCCATGATGTTATTGCTATTCTGTCAGCAAAGCAAATTCTGGCTTGAACACGATGATTCAGGGGCATCAACACCTGTGCTTACTGAGTAGCAGACATAACATGCTTTCCTTGTCCTCACTGCTTTGGGCCTCCTTAAGCTCCCACACATTACCAATCCACAAAATTTTGTTTTCGTGACTCATCATGAACACTACATATAAATGCACTATTGAGAATTGTGGTGGACTCAGATACTGTGCATATCTCCTATGCTTACTTGTACGTTGTACTGTCTCATCGGACTTCAGTTACAAAACACAAGTTCCAAGAGAAAATTATTAAGAATTTTGTGGCATCATGGTTTCAGATAATCAAGTTATGCATTATTCCAACAACATGGACCACTTGCCCTTACTGATCTAGCTACTTCTGCTTTTGATAGTGCAACCTGTCAGCAACATAGACTAACAGCCCCAGTTAGATGTTACTACTCGAAGAGATGAACTGGCCGTGATGGGAAGTATCTCAATTTGTTCTTACAGGAATAGACCACAATTTCAGCTATAATTTTGCCTTTGCTACCCACAGAGCTTCAGCTAGCACTCCTTGAAGGAACTTACAAATCTGATTCTCAAGCACAACATTTAAACGGGAAATCAATTCAACAGTGTAGAAGATACTGGATGGTCCTATGACCATGGGATCTATTGATCATATCACATACCCCTACCACCAGCAGCTCTGTCTAGAAGTATTAGAATAATAGAGTATTAGAATGGTATGTTTCAAAGACACACTGAAGTGTCATCTTGGAGGAAATAGCATGTAAATATTGGTTGCCATCCTCCAGGGCATAGTGTACACATAAAACTAGAGAGCATTGCATCAAAGGGTACTTTGTCTCCTATAGAAAGAATACGTGTGTTGGGGAAACTGAGGGCAGGGGCAAACTTGGCCAACTTATCACTTCTATTGACTCACTAAGGGACTTGTACTTCCTGTCCCTGTAACTCTGATCCTCAGAGTGTGCACTCTTACCTTGGGACAGATCAGGTTTCCTTGACTTAAAAGCTATGGCTGCTGGCTAGAAACTTTGGGCTCCTTATGTCCAGGGACCAATATGCAATAAGGGGAGTATTCATCTCAACAGAGGTAGTTGACCCTGATTAGGCAAAGGTAACTCTCTGTATTTACTCAGAAGTGGCACAGAGGTGCATATGTTAAATTCAGGCAAAAATCTCTTTTATCTCTTGGTATATCTTTGCCAACTGTGACTGTAAATGAACACCTGCAATAACTAATTCTGGAGAAAGGTTATCAGTTATTCAGATGCCTCTGAAATAAGGGTTTAGGTCAAACTATCAGGCAAACTACAGGGACTGGAAGAAGTGGTAGCTAAGGAGAGAATAATTTAGAATGAATAGTGGGAAAGAAAATGATAAGTATTATTTGCAGTCCCAAGACCAAATGCAAAGATGGGACTGTAATTCTTTTCACAAATCTCCTTGTTGCAGGTTTACTCTCAGACATGTAAATGCTCAGCTCAAACCTCCTTTCAGAAGAAAACTTAATGCTCTCTTGCAAGAAATGCAGTTAACTGTTAACTCAGTGTCCAATTTGGATTGTAAGCTAAGGCTATGCTCTTCTTGTGACAAACTGTAGCCCATAAAAGAGCAAGGCAGTGGATAAAAAAACAAACCAGTCATTTCTACCCTACTTGGGACTCCTCTAGTGAGCAGTCCTTCTCTGGGCCTCCTTCTTCATTTGGAAAGATTTGTTCAAGTATGCATTGCAGTCTGACAGTAACCCCTACCCAATCATACTTCTTTTTGCATCTTTCTCAGGCTTTTTTTCCCTATTAAAATTTTGGAGTCCTAACTCCATTTCAGTAACTGTTTCTAAGCAATTTCAGAAAGAGCCCAATTGAAATAGGCAAACTTATTTTTCAATGCCAATTCCAAGAATAAAGTAGTACCTGTAAATTAAGACTCCCTGAAATGATATCATGAAGCTGAAATTCGATATCATTATCAATCAGATCTTTTCCAGCATAGAATATATAATACTGCAAATAATCTTCTCACTTTGAAGCAGCAGCTTAGTTCTAGAAAAAACCATTTTCATTTGCTTCTTCAAAATTACTATATTTTGGTGTATGAAAAGGTAATTCATGACTCAAGCAGAGGGCTAAAATTTCTATAGTGATATTTGAATATTATATGTAATAGAAAGTAGGAGCAAGTGATAATGCTGACCTCTAAATCTCTTGATATTTTGATTGCTTATTGTGTGTGTGTATATATATATTAACTGGAGGGTAATACAATATGGCAATGAAAATGTGGTTGGTTCCTTCCGGTGGGTTCTTGGTCTTGCTAACTTCAAGAATGGAGCCGTGGACCTTGGCAGTGAGTGTTACAGCTCTTAAAGATGGTAGGTATGGAGTTTGTTCCTTTCGATGTGTCCGGAGTTTCTTCCTTCTGGTGGGTTTGTGGTCTCACTGACTTCGAGAATGAAATCTTGGACCTTCATGGCGAGTCTTAGAGCTCTTAAACATGGTGCAGACCCAAAGAGTGAGCAGCAGCAAGACTTATTGTGAAGAGCAAAAGAACAAAGCTTCCACAGCATGGAAGGGGACCTCAGCTGGGTGCTGCTTCTGGCTGGGGTGGCCAGCTTTTATTCCCTTATTTGGCCCTCCCCACGTCCTGCTGATTGGTTCATTTTACAGAGCGCTGATTGGTCCATTTTACAGAGCACTGATTGGTCCATTTTACAGAGTGCTGAGTGGTGTGTTTACAATCCTTTAGTTCAACACAGAGTGCTGATTGGTGCATTTTTACAGAGTGCTGATTGGTGTGTTTACATTCCTTTGGCTAAACACAGAGCGCTGATTGCTGCGTTTTTACAGAGTGCTGATTGGTAAGTTTACAATCCTTTAGCTAGACACAGAGCACGGATTGGTTCGTTTTTACAGAGTGCTGATTGGTGTGTTTACAATCCTTTAGCTAGATATAGAGTGCTGATTGGTGCGTTTATAATCCTCTGGCTAGACAGAAAAGTTCTCCAAGTCCCCACTCATCCCAGGAAGTCCAGCTGGCTTCACCTCTCAGTAATATGGTTATAAAAGGGCAAATTTAAAAATTAATTGATTGCATTATGACCCAAAGTCACTTTGTTCAATGAGGGAAATAAGTCCTAAGCTTTCCTTCATAATATAGTTCAAAGCTACTATAAGCTCAAATGCTCAGGGAAACTGAGGACTGTAGAATAGAAAATTAGCAGGGAAAAAAAGCTTAGGAATTTTTTTTTCTTCCCTTACTTTTTTTACTCTGTCCTATTTCTTTGACAAGAAGAGTTGAATTCCTCTCTTGAAGGTTTATAGCACTTGTGGGATTTGGGGTTTGAAAGCTAGGCCTCCTCCTTTTCCTCACATTTCCATTGGCTGCAGATGGTCGCTGCTGGTGGGAACACCAGATTACACACCACCACACCTTTCTTTCTTCTTGTATTTGGTAACTGACAAAAGGGGCAAGAATCCTGTGCTGGTGGCCATCATAGTAGCCTGACACAGCTCACTGAAAGTCAGGAGGCCGCTGAATTGTACTAACAGCACAACTTGAATACAGTGGAGAAAGACATTTCTGGAAGTAATTTTAACTCCTTTATGTGCGTCTTTAGAGCTGAGTAGTGTTTATCTTGGGGAAAGGATAAGGTCCTTCTTCAATAGCAAGCGCATAAATAGACTGATAAGGGGACGTGCAGAGTTGAAATTTCAGGAGCTCCCTGCTCCAAAAAGTCATTTGTTATTCTCTTTTCTTTGCAACAAGATTCAAGCAAAGTTACAACTATAATTGCAGAGTGAAGGAACTAAGTAATAGCATGTTCCAAAACTTCTTCTTTTAACTCATTATCATAGCCTGTGAAAGAGATACATAATCATGAACATTCCCTGAGTATTATAGAAAACTAGATGAAGTGGTACAAGTTCTATAAACTCAGTGTGCTTTTGTTTGTTTAATATTTGTAACTCTTTATTAAAACCCACTTTGTTGGTATGTCATCACTGACCATAATGATTTTTAGGATAGTATATTTCAGTCTTCAATAGAAATTTTACTTCTTAGAGACAGCAATTCATCTTTTATTTCCTCTGCCACAGGAATACTTAATTAATTAATACTTTTATTAATTATGGCAAAATCTAAATGTTAGAACTTAATATAGTATAGTCTAACATAATTTAATGTTAACATAATTCATTGCCTAGATGGTATAATGATCAGAAAGATTTAGAAAAGAAATGCAACTGAGGCTATTAGCTCACTTATTGATTTAATACTTGAAAACAAATGAATTGTTCAACAGGGGAAAATCAGAGATTCCCACGTAAAGCATTCTTTGGGAGTATAGTTGTTTTTTGGAGGCAAATATAGAAAGGAGGGAAAAAATAGCATGGTTTGTTTCTGAAGATTACATATCATGTATCTAGGTATTAGATTATAGAGTTTTCATAAGATAACTATTAATCAAAGTGCATAAACAGTTGCATGGAACCCCAAAATCTCAGTGCCAGGAGAGCCTCATAGACAGGTTTCATGCATACATTTTTCTTGGTGTTTATTCCCAAGATCAAATGCGACCCTATAGGTTTCTTTTCTTGCCAATATAACTACATGCAGCCTGTGGCAGGTCCCTGAGCAGTATTGATGATATTGGTCTCTGAGCTTTAAAATAGAATTCTGCATTTAAATGTCAGCTCTTAGATGCTTACTTAGACTTTCTTGAAGAAAGTTATTTCATTGCCATAAGGTGGGATGGACACACCAGACCCCCTTTAATGGAAGTGCTATGGGTAGATTGAGACAAAGACCAACACCAATAAAATTTTACTTCTTGTTAGAACTTTGGCTGCTTTACTAGAGAAATATTCTAGGAAAGAAAAATCTGTACCAACAGAAAAGAGTCTTATGAGAATCCTGGAAGCTCCTCTCGTAGGTGGTTTGCCCTTAGGCATTAGAGTTGCTGAGTGATTTGCAGATGGCTCCTCAACTTTTAATTCAAAGGTAATATTTTGTTTTCAGTCTTCCTTTCTTGGTCTCAAGTGAGTCTTTATAAAAGAGAATTAAAGGACCTAGTCTCACTGTGTAAAAACACATTTTTGGCATGTATCAGGGGTCCAGCACTATAAACAGTCATGATCCTTATTTATACGGATATTGGTCTTGCCACTGGTATTCTAATGATTAGGGCCTCATGTCAAGGTTTGTACAGGACAATTTTCTGTGTATAACAAATACCTAACAAACTAAAATCGGAATTGTAATAACCCATAAAAATACATATTATAGCATAGGAAAGTATTCACAATGAAAAATGTGTATGTCCCCTCAAAGCAGATGGTATAATCCCAGGAGGCAGACAAACGGGTGCATAAACAAGATAGTGATTGTGAAGGAAGCATGCACTAAAGTGAGTATGGTGCTTCGAGATCCTGTGAGATTCCCAAACCAAAATGATTGGGATTTTGGCGTTTACCTGCTATGCCTAAAGACATGAAACCTTCCCATGATAGGAAGGTGGATGACACCGAGCCACTCCCTAGTCATCAGGGTAAAAGTATGCTCTAACAGAAATTTATGTTTGCATAAAGTTTGCCTGAATTTCTTGGAGGCCTTCCAAACATTAATAAGACTATATTATAGAGGCAAACATTGAAATGGATTGGATGGTGGAAGCCTGACAAGTGTTCTTGGGAGATAGACAACTCTGCCCCAGGGTGGGCCAGGCATTCTAAGAATCTAATCGCAACCTTTCCACTCTGGCTTAAGATAACTAAATGAATCAAGAGTTTGTTTTCTACTCAGTCTGACTTTCCCATAATCTGCCCAAAGAACTGCTGTTTTATTTTAGGTAAAAATAACCATAGGCATAATAACATTTGCCTTTACGAGTTTAGGAAAGTGAAAAGTATATTTAAAATTGAGTCATAATATATGTCACATGAATATACAGAAAAAAACTGGTAGTAGTTGGTGAATTAATTAGAGATTCAAGACCTACATAGTATCTGTAGCTCTCAGGTAATATTTTACAGAGTGAAACCGTAACATACCAACTTATTAAAATTATGACTACCTTCATCCATTGTGGGTTTGTTTTATCAACTCATATTTAAAATCTGGAAATTCTTTTAATTATATAAACTATTAAAATACCTGGCTTTAATCCAGGAGGTCAGTAGGTCTAATACTGGGCTACTATGTTGAGAGTGGGAAATTATTGGTAAATTCTAATATTGAGTATAAAAAATCATGTGCACCAATTTAACTAAGCCCTCAGTTTACCACTGTGAGGGCCAAAATCTACAAAGCTGTGTACCTCCTAGCCATTGGCTGAAGTCAAATGGTCCACCTCAGAAAATATATAGAAATAGGAGTAAAACCTTAAAGGTCATGGTTTTCATTTTGATGCCATTTGGAGATTATTTTAATATGGGTCAAATTAAAAGAAAGCATTTTTTTCCTCTGGGCATGGTGGT